>NC_000002.12:4252424-4555454 GCF_000001405.40 Homo sapiens
TTCTTTCTTCACTCTTCCAGCTTGTTTCAATCATTATTCATCCAAAAAAAACCACTTTTCATGAAAATACCCCTGAGTAGTACATGCCAGGAGAGAGTTTCAAAATTGGGAGCCATCATAATAAATGCTATGAGGTATGCATCTACTTTGATAGGTGTAACAGTTATACTTTAAACTATAATAGTATTTTAAAATGGAAAATTATTGAAACATATTAGAAACTACAAATGGATCACTGTGGTGGATTTTTTTTCTGTGAAGAACTAATAATATATGCAAATGATTTTAGCAGATAAATATGGAACAAAGAAAATGCCCTTTCTGAAATCATTGCAGCTCTGACATTCCCAATATGTTAAGTTCCAATTGTGAATAAGCTTTCAGAAACAAAAGTAATTTGCTTAACTAATTAGAACTTTAAAACTCAAAACTTATGCTAAATAGGAGAGCATCCATGGTTTGGCTTAAAGAAGGAATATGAAAATATGCTGTTGAGAGATAATTCTCCATAGGTCTGGTGTTTCTGCACATCCTGTGAACAATGGGTATTGACAACTTTGTTCAAGAAAGTTCTCAGACACCCTTGGAAAGATAAAAATAATGTCTCAAATCAGAGAGATTTACACACATCTCTGCCCAGAGACATTCCAGGTGAGAAAGTTGGGCCATCTCCCTCTCTTCTCCAGAGAAAACTGGCAGTAAGGAAAATGCGTCTTTCTGGAGAGGTGGGGCAGGTTGCCAGCATCCGGCGTGTAATGTATCTAACCAGGAAGTCTTCAGCTGGGACAGTGTCTGCCAAGGCCCATCTCTGCATCGCCATCATGGGACTTGGAGGGCAAGAGGAACCAATGTGAACTTGAAGCACATGTTGCCTGGATGCCCATTTAAGTTCTTTGTTTCTTGACAAGCCAATCTATGGAGGTCCAGCTAGCCAACCCAGCAGCCCCCTGCTTCTAGAGACTGACCACTGGACACCAACCTGATTCTTCTTAAAAGAATGAGGTCATAGCTATTTGAACGGAAATTTCTGCAACTTTCATATTTATCTGTAGATTAAAATTTTCAGAAGCTTATAAAATCATAGAACAGCTTATTTATGAAAATAGGCATCCAGGGCATCTCTAAGATTCATAGTAAATCTCATAGTTATTTCAGGCTCATACTCTAATTTGCATTTAGAAAATCTGGGTTTCAGTGAGTCCCTGACCACCTTGCTGGAATATTTTGGCTGAATATATGGAGAAACATTGCATGGGAGGTTCAAAAAGATCTGAACCATCCATGCTAAGCTGATGTGATACGTTTAGGGGTATGACCACATAGCACTAAAATCTCGACTAGATTTAACTGACACCCATCATGACAGCAGGTGGAAAGCTGACCTTTGCTAGTTCCCTATATCAACTTTGATTTTATACTCAACTTTGATTTTAATTTATAGGTCTTTGGTCCTCAGATATCTACCCTCCCTGGAATCTCTCCTGCACTTTCCAAGTATTAGCATTCTGAGGTTTTAATGCATAAATGGGACTGCTCAGCAGTATCGGAGTAGCTCTGTAGAAGCACTGGTGGTGTCAGGGTGCCGGATCTGGACGGTGTCCCCAAGTCAGAGTGGCCATAGTGAGCATGAGCCGCAAGTGACTCTACTACTGGAAAGCCGGTGCCTCACACATTGTGTGTCTTTTGGGGGATTTTGGTGTGTCCCCTTTCATTCTACTTTAATTAGAAATAAACTTTGACCTCCATACAACTACAATTTTCTTCACTTGGCTATGGGCAGAGGCATAAAAAAAATAACAGGAGCATAAGGGCAGAGCAGTACTGTATACAGTAGTTTGAGTGCCTTGAAGAATGAGACATCTGAAGACAATTTGTTATAATGCAGCACACATCATATAGAATAACTTAAATATGCTGCTCCTAAAGAAAGCCATATTTAGGCAAACTGTCAGAGTTATCTTTTCCCTGACAGGCAACAAGTTATCACTAGGGTTTTTAAAGTGCTAGGTGCTGCAATGTAATGGTATCAATTTTTTCCTTACATGCATCTATTTTGTGAAGCAGAACAGCAAAATTTTAATAACTCAGTTTCTAATCTTTAGAGCTTAGATATGGGATCCAATCTGCATGTTTTTAGATTGGTTTCTGGCCTCACAAATACTGGACAATTCATGAACATTCTACAATAATTGCAAGTTGATTTACCTACTTCCCACCCCAGCCTGCACATTTGCCTGTGCAATGAAGGTGACTGGAAGTAATTTTGTGCTGAAGAAAAATGTTGTCAACAAAATATGTCATAAGCAAGCTTTTTTCTTTCAAGGTTGTCCTGAAATAGGTAATCGGATTGAAATTTTATTTTAAAGAAGCAAAATATATTGATCTAAACAAGCTGCATTTTATTAAAAACAAGTTCTCTAAAATCACAATTGGTGCTGTCTTACTGTAAAAAAAAAAAATTGAGCTCTTGGGAATTGTAAACCCAGAGACATAAGCTGTTAAGGGACACTTGGAAATTGTATACTTTTCCTGGAAATGACCATATTTCTGAAAACATCCAGAATTATTAGGCCATCAGATGTTCCAGGGCTGCCCATGTCTGTCCTTCCTGCATTCCTCCTGGTATCAGTCTCCCTGATGAAGAAGGTTGGTAGATGGTAGAAATGTCTGAGAAAAGAGTTGAGAGGGTAGGAAAGGTTTGGTGAGAAACCAATCAGCCTAACGCTTTCAGTGGAGCTCAACTTTAGCCTGGACCAATCACGGTGGAAAGACTTATGTGTGGGCTTCCACTCCGGCTTCAGCTTTTGGCACCGGGTACCTCTGCTTCCATCTTTCAGGTTGTGATTCCTGAATTAAGACAGGCATTTATCCTGCCAGTTGTTCTTTCTGTTTGTAGATTTGATTGAATTAAATGGCTGTTTACTGATGTTTAAAGGTAAAAGCTCAGAACAAATGAATGAGAACACAAGAAGTCCTCCTTCACAAAAAGAAGGACAATGAAAACATTGAAGCACATCGTGACATGACCAGCCTAAAGTATTGACTTAAACATTGTTAGGATTCATTTTTCAACAACACTGTGAGAGGGGAGGACTGCAGCTAAATTGTTAACCTAAGATGTGGAGCTTGGAACATTGATCTGGAAGCCCAAAGTACTCTGTTCCTCTCTCGAGTACTCACCCAGCTGTAGACTTCATGCTTGAGTCTTGACGCCACTCACCTTTGGCTGCATTGCACTCCAGGCCACTGCAGAGCCATCGCTAGCACCCACAGTTGTCAGATGAGTGCTGCCTGGCTGGCCTCTGAGCTGGTTCTGAGTGTGCTTTCACTCTGTCCAGCCACGTCTATCCTGACTCCACTGCTCCTAGTTGGGACCCACTGCTGCTCTTTTTGACTTGGTATTTGGATCTGGCTTCTCTCAGCTTGGCTTTGAAGACTTTTGCTTGGATTGCACTTCTGTCATGAGTTCAGAATTCATCAGGTGTTTACTTGCTCCTAGAAACCTGATAGAACCCCCTCTAGCCTAGAGAAAGGTCCTGATAGTTTACTTAGGAAGAATTCAGACAGTATCTGCACCCAGACTAGAACAGCCCTGGTGTAATCTCTTAGTAGGATGATGTGATATCCTCCTGCTTCTGTTGTTTTGTGTGTATAGTGAAGATATTCCATTTGCGGCTAACACATACCTTGTTGCTATATTCTAACAGTAACTGACAGTGAAAATCTCACCTTCACAATGGAGAATCAAAAATCAAAACAAGGATAACAACCAAAAAATCCTAAAACTACCATTTTATCTTGCTTCTAGGATACAGGCATTGTGATTTAGGAATTCCCCCCACGCCCCCCAAAAAAATACACCTGTGTAAGACCTTGATTTCAAATGATTTATATGGGAAAAGAGGCCAAATGCAAGAATTTTGTTGGCTGAAATGACAGCATGACAACAAAGGCAATCAGTTCTGATAAGGTTTGGCTGTGTGTCCCCACCCAAATGTCATGTTGAATTATGTTCTTCAGTGTTGGAGAAGGGGTGTGGTGGGAGGTGACTGGATCACCAGGCAGATATCCGCCTTGCTGTTCTTATGACAGTGAGTGAGGTCTCATGAGACCTGTTTGTCTGAAAGAGTGTACACTTCCCCCTTTGCCCTCTCTCCTATTCCACCACGTGAAGACGTACCTGCTTCCCCTTTGCCTTTCTCCATGATTGTAAGTTTCCTAAGGCCTCCCAGTCATGCTTCCTGTACAGCCTGCGGAACTGTTAAACCTCTTTTCTTTATTAACTACTCAGTCTCAGGTAGTTCTTTATACCAGTGTGAGAATAGACTAATACGAGTTCTGAAGCTGCACTTGGGTGGTGATGCCTCAGTTCTGTGCTTCCTGCTCAGGAGGCTGCGGCCCTCTTGTCAAATCCATTCTGGGGTAAAGTTTTGGGACTTGTTTCTTGAAATTTGACCTATATTCTGTCTTATCAGCGCTCATGAAGTTTCTGTGAGTTCTGCATATCTGTCAATAGTTCCTTTCCTTCATAACCAGCTACAGTGTCTTCTATAGGTGGGCTGCTAAGGACCATGACCAATCAATATACATTTAGGAAACAGTAATGTTAGCATGCTTAGGAGAAAAGAGGTATTGTTATATAATTATACATGCTTGTGTTAGAGCCAAGTCAGTCTCAATTTTCACATTTGTCAAATGGGAATAGTAAGAGAGAGGAAAAAATACATATGAAGCATCTAACACTGTGTCAGTACAGAGAAAGAAGCCTCAAAAGAGAGTGCTGAGTAAGCCTCAAGCTTACCAAATGAATGCACATTAATTAAATAGCAGAAATGTTAGTCCTAATTGGATTAAGCAGTCTTTATCGTGTCAGAAAAAAATATTGAGAGGCAAAGACAAAGTTCTAAAATTACCCAGTATATATATTTTTAAAAAGTTTCTTAGTGATTCCTAAAATAACCAAGTCTAACTGGCAAATAACAAATAATTTTAAATACACAATTTATAGGAACCTTATTACCATTCTTAATTAGGTATTTCTACAAAACAGTGAAAGAGTAGAAGAAGACATATTAATAAAAAATGCAATTGTCTAAATAGAATGCCTATTGGAGGAGGAAATGAGAGGTGGTGATGGGAGGGGGAGAGAGAGAAAACAAGGCGAGGAGGAGAAAGTGTAATACAGTTTCTTGGTAAAGTGTCCCCAAGATTACTTATTGAAGGGTCTGGGACTCCTCCTTGATTAGCAGTTTCTGGTTCCTGTTAGCTTTCTCAGTTCTATCACTTTTCCTCCCCCTCATGATTGTAGATCAGTCTTCTTCGTCTCTCCATTTGATCATTTGTTGCACAATTATTTCCTTCACCCACTGGGTAATAGACGTTCTAATTAAATTGCAGGCACTGTATTCAGTGCCAGCTTCCTTTGCACATGGAGACATTTCTTAATGTCTAAAGAAAAGCTCCAAGTTGACATTCCATTGATGTCTCAAACCTAGCCTATGTTTATGATCAGATACAAGATGTTTCCTGTTAAATTTATTCCACTTTTGATTTCAAACACATAGACTTAAAAATACTGTCATCTTTAAATTGTACACTCTCATTCAATTAGTGCTAAGTTCAGTTGGTTTTACAGGTCAATCTTGAATCAATTATTGTATTTTTGCTCATTGCCTTGGTTCAAAGTCTAATTATTTTTTTTACTTGGTCTCTTGTGATGATACTGTAACTGATCATTAAGCCCCTTACTCTCTGAAATCCAATCCATTCTTCATACTTTGTGTTTCTTAAACACATAATTCCTAATATTTCTCTGTACAAAAGACCTCTTGGGTCTTGTTGCCTATAAATCCTTTAGATCACATTTAAGTGTTTCTAAAACCTTAATGTCCTGTAGGGCCATCCATGTTATTGCAAATTACAGAATTTTCTGTTTTTTGTTTGTTTGTTTGTTTCTAAGGCTGAGTAGTATTCCACGGTGTATATATACCATGTTTTAAAATCCATTCATCCATTGATGGACACTTAGGTTGTTTCCATATCCTGACTATTGTGAATAATGCTGCAATAAACATTGGGGTGCAGACATCCCTTTGGCATATTAATTTCAATTCCTTCAGTGAGATTGCGGGATCATGTACACATGTGTTGAAACATCACATTGTACCCCATAAATACATGTAACTATTATTTGCCAATTAAAAATAAAACAACACTGTAAAAAGGAGTTTCAGAAATCTGCTATTTCTTGTGTACTGATCTACTCACAGAACCTCTGTTATTCTTATCCTCTGGTGATCTACTCATCCACTGGAGAAGAATGTTTATCTTAAGTCAACATGCCTTCATGACATAATTTGCCAACTGATTGAGTCACTGATGGAAACATGACACCGTTCAGAAGTCTCTAAGAAGGAATAATAAACATTAACTGTTTTACAGCTTTATGTGTTACCTGCACTGGGTCCTCTTTATACTGACTTTTTTGTTTAAATATGGAATTCCATTTTTAGCTCTCTGCTTTTTTTTATTTTTGCTTCTCATTTCTTGTCTCCTAATCTATGGTCTCATCTATGCCTATTAAATGGATTTTCCATCTATGTGCATAAGAATACTGGTCCGTATATACACTTGCCCCTAAAAATGTCCACAACCATAACCAAATGTGAATGTTTTACAGCCATAACCACATCAAAAATCCCAAAATAGAAATCACATTTTTTTTTCAATTTATAATTTCTCTCCTTCTCTTGTAATTCCTATTTCAGGAATTGGCACTCCTATCCCCCATTTAGCTAATTAGAGGGAGATAATCACTTCTCCAGGAGAACATTCAGAAAACTCCTGAACAAAAGAAGACATAGCCTTTGTCCTTATGAGACTGAGATACTTAGGGTAAGCGAGGACCAGGATAAAACTGCTCTGATTTGGTGCTTGCAGAAGAGAAATAAAGTTGATCCAGTAAAAATCACCCGCAAGCTCAAGAGTGCATCGCCTTGGTGCACGGAGGTGTGTAGTAAATCTCAGTTCTTTCCCCACGCCTCCTCCTGGGTTGCTGTCTTTTGCTGGTGTAACATCCCTTACTAGAATCTGACCCAATTGAGCTGCCAGCACCTGCTCAGTGTGCCCTTTCTTTTAGTTTTTAGTACAACTTTGACCTTGTGGCTGAGACTTTGACAATTCTCTTCATCATGAGTTTCCTGCCTGCGTCCCTGTGCTGCCTTTCTAGACAATGTGTTCTACCTAAGCTGCCCAGAAATGGCATCTTTTGTCATAATCCACCCTGGGTCCTGCCAATAAAGGAAAAGAGTGGGGCTCATCGCATCCACGCTCCTGGCTCAAACCATAGAATGACAGACTTTACACCTTGAAAAAACATGAAGAATCACTTCATCTCCTCTTTATTTTTTGATGAACGGAGCCCCAGGAAACAAGAATGGAGCCAATGGGATAGAGTGCTTTGAAAAAATTAACCTATGCTGGCATCTATTAGACATCTCTATAATTTGATGCTTATTTTTTTCCAACTTCAAACACTCGAATATCACAGTACAAGTTAGTTTACTTTTAAGTACAACTAATTTTAGAGGCAAGGACTAACCATTGATTTGGGAATACAAATTGTACAAAAAGCAGCCAAACTTTTCAGAGTTTAGTTCCAGCTACTCGGGAGGCTGAGGCAGGAGAATCGCTTGAATCCAGGAGGTGGAGGTTGCGGTGAGCTGAGATCGCACCGTTGCACTCCAGCCTGGGCAACAAGAGCAAAACTCTGTCTCAAAAAAAAAAAAAAAAAAAAAGTTTTGTTCAAGCAACGGCTCTGTCAGCATGACCTGGGTTCCTGCCTGTGTGCCTGTGTCTATGCCTCATGAAGCCTTTACCCTGCTTCTCTAGTGTATTAGTCAGGGTTCTCTAGAGGGACAGAACTAATAAGATTTATATATATATATATATATATGTATATATATGTATATATATGTGTATATATGTATATATAATATATATTATATAATATGCATATGTATAAAATATGTATATTATATATGTATATTTTATATATATGTATATATTATATGTATATTTTATATATGTATATTTTATATATATGTATATATTATATATGTATATTTTATATATATGTATATATTATATGTATATTTTATATATATGTATATATTATATATGTATATTTTATATATATGTATATATTATATATGTATATTTTATATATATGTATATTTTATATATATGTATATCATATATATGTATATATTATATATATGTATATCTTATATATATGTATATATTATATATATGTATATCTTATATATATGTATATAGGAGTTTATTAAGGAGAATTGACTCACTTGATCACAAAATAAAGTCCCACAATAGGCCACCTCCAAGTCTAAGAGTCCAAAAGCTGAAGAACTCGGAGTCTGATGTTCAAGGGCAGGAAGCATCCAGCACGGGAGAAAGATGAAGACCAGAAGACTCAGTACGTCTGCTCTTTCCAACTTCTGCCTGATTTATTCTAGCCGTGCTGGCAACTGATTAGATGGTGCCCACCCAGATTGAGGGTGGGTCTGCCTCTCCCAGTCCACTGACTCAAATGTTCATCTCCTTTGGCAAGACCCTCACAGACACACCCAGGAACAATACTTTGCATCCTACTATCCAGTCAAGCTGGCACTCAATATTAACCATCACATTTAGGGTGGCCTGATGTGGCTCAAGCCAGAGTTTAGCTTCTGCCCCTCCCTTGCTGTCTCCAGACTCTGTCCTTGTTATATCTAAATTCCTTCACTCCATTCTGTTCAGGCTGTTATACTCTTGTCATTGGCACAGAACAGGGACATGTACTGGGGAAAATGGGGCAGGGAACAGGAAAAACTTGGGGAAAAAAACACAAAAAGCCAGGTGTGGGGGCTCATGCCTGTAGTCCTAACACTTTGGGAGGCCACGGTGGGCAGATCACTTGAGGCCAGGAGTTCAAGACCAGCCTGGCCAACATGGCAAAACCCTGTCTCTACTAAAAATACAAAAATAAGCTAGGCGTGGTGGCAGTGCCTGTAATCCCAGATATTCAGGAGGCTGAGGCAGGAGAATCGCCTGAACCGGGGAGGCAGAGGTTGCAGTGAGCTGAGATCCTGCTACTGCACTCCAGCCTGGGCGACAGAGCAAGACTCTGACTCAAAAACAGAAAACAAACAAAAACAAAAACAAAGAAAAACAGCGGGAAGCAGGAAGGTCCAGTTCAGTTTCTTCCTTCTCTAGAAGCCATTTGCAGACTGTCTGGGCCAGGACAGCTTCTTTTTCACATAAACACTCTGACACTTTTCTCTTAGTGCCATTTTAGCATGGTCATTATGCATGCCACTTTCTAAGAGACTATGGGATTTGAGAGAGTAAGGCTTAATGTATTCTGGCATAAAAGAGATAGTAAGTGTTTATAGAAAAGAAGGGAAAGAGGTAGAAAGGAGGAAAAAGTAATAAAAATAGAAGAGGGAAGGAGAGAGAAGGGAAAACTATGGATGAAGAAATGATTAAATATGGAACAATTTCAATCTTTGCAACCTTATGAATATTCAAAATTTCTTTTTTTATTTATTATTATTATACTTTAAGTTTTATTCAAAATTTCTTAATTATCATTTGTCAACAAGATTGACTCCCTCCTTATGTTCAAGGGTATACCTTCTTTGAAAAATACCAATGTGATTCTGGTGCCATGTTTTGTAACCTCCCTGCCACACCCCCTCCTTTGCTATTGACCGTATTACACCAAGACTGAGTACTTGGGCTGATGATCTTCACAGGAGTGTGATCACTTTCTCTCTGGATGCTTGACAGTTTGAAGCCTGCTGGAGGATGTTGTCTGGGTTGTGCTGTCGCTGTCTCTGACTTCCAGACTCATAGAAAGCAATATTCATTAGTTTGAAAACATGTATTAAGCACCTACTGTGTGACTGGTACTGACTGACAGCACTGTTCTCAGGTCTAAGAGAGAGAGCAATTTTTTAAAAAGTCAAAATCCTTGCTTTTTGTGGTGCTTCTATTCTAGAGGGAGACAGGCAAGACATAAAAATTCAGTCTGCTCACCGGAGACCCCCAAGCTCGCCACAATTGTGGACAGCAGGACTCTTGTGTTTCCTGTCTTTGACTAGCAGTCACTGGGGGTCTGCATTCTTTTTTTTTTTTTTTTTTTTTTTGAGATGGAGTCTCGCTCTGTCGCCAGACTGGAGGGCAGTGGCATGATCTCGGCTCACTGCAACCTCGGCCTCCTGGGTTCAAGTGATTCTCCTGCCTCAGCCTCCTGAGCAGCTGGGACTACAGGAGCACACCACCACACCCAGCTAATTTTTGTATATTTAGTAGAGATGGGGTTTCACCATGTTGGCCAGGATGGTCTTGATCTCTTGACCTCATGATCCTCCCGCCTCGACTTCCCAAAGTGCTGGGATTACAGGCCTGAGCCACCTTGTCCGGCTAGGTCTGCACTCTTGAAAAATTCGTTTTTTTTTCCTATGGGCTTCTGTTGGCACATGCTATAAACAGTAGCTGCATGAAATGTGCTAATGTTTTTGTTCTGAAGGATATTGTTTAGAACTTTCTTAAGTATTGCAAAGTGTCCATTTTATAGAGACTAGTAAGATAAATTATCTTCTCATCATAAAATCTAAAAAACGTAGCACTTTTCATAAACAGCTAATATATTCTTACATTATTGATTCTATGAATGTCTTAATTAATCTTGAATTTTACTTTTGGTTGTCAGCACAGAGCCGAATTGGTGTGGCTCATTTTTAACTATTACGAAGTACCTTATGCCATTACTTTCCATGTGCCAAATTACCCCAGCTTTGTCTCTTCCCTGACCTTATTCTTCTAGCACTTCACTCTCCTCATTTATATTTATGTTTCACGATTCCCGCACTTGTTTTCGTGAATTTGTCTCTCTCTTTTCCTCACAATGTGGGCTATTGTGTCAGCTAGATATTGAATTCACGTGAAAATATCAGAGAATCCAGACGTGATGGCTTTAAGAAACTAATGGTACTGATGGCTTGAATCTGACGATGGCAAAGAGGATTCTGCAGGTTTGTCCAGGGGTTCAAAAACGAAAGGGCTGATTCTTCTGCCATTTCTTGGTCTTTACTCCCTGCCTTGTAGTTACACCCATATGCAGCATCGTACCTACTTCTGGACAACAAAAAAAGAGAACAGGCAGGTCAAAAAGCACCTACCAGTTGGGTCAGACTGCACTTAGTGTTTTCTCTGCAGCTCCAGCCAGGGACTCCACCCCCACATGATTGGCAGGAGCTATGTTGGGGGACAATCTCTCTATAGCTGTCTGTCTGTTTTATGATGGATGTATAGCTACACCAAAAAAAAATCTTATGTTAGTAAGAAAAGAGGTGAAAATGGATATTGAACAAACAAGAAACAGTCTTTGACACAGGTATAAATAAGTAAGCCATCTTAGTTTTCTTTGTGTCATTGTAATGCTTTATAATAAAAAATTTAACATTTACATAGCACTTTAAACCTTTTTTCAAGTGATTTTATATCTGTTTCCATAGCTTTATATTATTTTGCTACTCTTTTCTACTAAATCACTGGAAATATTTGTCACTTCCTATAACTATAAAACCTGGAATTTTCATTCAAATGATTAATGATATGTTTCTCTGTATTTCTCCTTGTTATTTATGTAATTTCTTTAACTCAATTTCCTTCTGATAGTTTTTCTGTTGCAAGACTAGATATTAATTTCACAAAATTTGCTAAAACCTTTTACAAATGCCACAAATCCCATTAGGAATTCATTATTCAAGATACAAAACATAATGCATTTTATAGAGCTTTTAACAGAGTCTGTAAGCCTGAGGCAGCATCTTTGAGTTTTTGCTCTAAATAGGGAGCCACAGCTGCCCTTACCTTGGCTTCACACCACTTCACGAAACTGCCAATACAATTTATTGCCAAGTGAAGAAGTATTTGTCATGGAAAATGGGTGCTGCATGAAAAGAGAGAGAGTGAGAGAAAAATAGAGAAATAGAGAGATAGAGCAAGCTCCCTTTTCTTTGATTTCTTTGGAATAAAAACCTTGAGGCACCATTTCAGTGGTTTAAAAAATTTCATTCTTTCTCTCTTCTTCCTTTCTAATATATTATCAACATTTAACAATTGAAAGGAAAATCTGAACTTGTGAGGCTGAGGTGAGAGGATCTCCTGATCCTGGGAGGTGGAGGCTGCAGCAAGCCATTTTCACACCACTGCACTCCAGCCTGGGGCACAGAGCTGGATCCTGTCTCAAAAAAAAAAAAAAGCTGGACTTTATAGATTATGCTCTTCCTGACTTTCACTTTTAAAGTTCTCCTTGTAGATACCTTTACATTTCTCAATAATATTCCTTTTGTGATATTTCTTGATGCATTGACTTGTACACCACTCACACCCCATTCCCCTCTCTTTACTCTCCTAATACTTCTTATCACATTTTTTAGTCTCATCAATACTCATTATTTATCCTATGGTAACTAAGTAGGAAATGTTCACTGCTGACAAGTGATGTTCTGAGACAACATTTTCTTTCCTGTATTATTCTTTGCTTTCCATGGAATTAATTGGCTATTTTTTTAATGTGTTGAATTTTTGTTTTGCTATGATGTTTTAATTTCCAAGAAATCATTCTGATTCTGAGAATGTCTCAGTGTTCACGTTTTTTTCTTTTATTTTTTAAAATACTTAATTATCAAATAAAGATCGGATATCTTCAAGGTATATAATGTAATTGATTTACATTGTAATTGATCTCCTATATGTATACACTGAATACACAATGAAATTAATAACCTCATCCATAACCACTCATGCGATACTTTAAACCTCCAACACCTGTTCATCTGATAGCTGAAAGTTTGTCTCCTTTGGCCAACATGTCTCCATTTCTCCCCCCACCCAGTTCTCTGATGTTGCCCTTTATGCAGGCAAATTCTTCACCCTCTCCTTTGTTCTCTACATTACTATGTTTATTGTTTTTATAACACAAATGTAATTCATTATATTGTTTTTACATTTGTCTTCATTTATTACATTGTAGCAATTTTGAAAGCAGAAACCATGTTTTATTCACCATGTCACTTGGGCATGGTACTTGATCTATGATCTATGATAGTAGTAATTATTTCTTGAATTAATTAGTAGTAATTAGTTGGTGAATTAATATAATATTCAAATGAGAACCAGAGGTTTTATAATGTGACTTCAAATGAAAGGTCATTTTCCTTTGCTCTGTATTATCAGATTATTAACTTTGCATGATAAAATACATAAAATTCATTCATTTTCCCTGAAGTCTTTCCTATTTTTCCTGAAGTTATCTTTGAGAGTAGGGTACAGTGGAAATACAAATTTTTCGAATAATGTTTTTGCTAACTTTTCGGATTCGTGGGATTTCAATAAATGATGCTCCTCTTTTCTTCCATATTGTGTAATGAATAAAAAGACAGTTAATAGAGTCAGGTAGCTGGAGACTCAGCTATCAGCTTTTTGCCAGGGGCATCTTGATTGGAGAATGTGCATTAGAGGGGTGCTCACAGTGGGCTCACAGGCACAACACACTAGTAGCGGAGTGGTGTCCCCACAGACAGTCACAGCCGCTGATGGGACATCTTTGTCCTGCAGAGAGGCTGGCTGGAGAAACAGTCTCGGGGGCCTTTTCACAGACTTACCGGGCAGATCATTTCCTGTCAGCTAATTTTCTCCAATTTCAAACTCATTTCCTGTCTCAGTGCTAAAAGCAATCATGTATCCCATCAGACATTTTAAGTTGATCTCTAAAAATTATTCACCATAATTTTAAATACCTACAAAATGTATCATTTCTGGCATATTGGAACTAGTAATATAATAATAAAATTGATATGAAACTCTTTTTAATACATCCAATGACCTCTAAATGTAGCACATTTATGTTCACTTTAAGGCATTTAAAAATGCATGATCAGGCCGGGTGCGGTGGCTCACACCTGTAATCCCAGCACTTTGGGAGGCTGAGGCAGGTGGATTACTTGAGGTCAGGAGTTCGAGACCAGCCTGGCCAACATGGTGAAACCTCGTCACTACTAAAAATACAAAAAATTAGCTGGCAGTGGTGGCGGGCGCCTGTAATCCCAGCTACTCAGGAGGCTGAGGCAGGAGAATCGCTTGAACCTGGGAGGCAGAGGTTGCAGTCAGCCGAGATCGCACCACTGCACTCCAGCCTGGGTGACAGAGCAAAACTGTCTCCCAAAAAAAAGCATGCTTAGTAATGTGTTGAACTATACAGTTAAGTGTTACATATACATTCATACACATATATGTATTCCTGTATGTGCACATGTGTATATGAACATGTTCCTCTTTAACAGTGAGAAATCTTAAATCATTTCGTTTCCTTGACCTAGTATTTCAATTCTACTTCTCCTCCCAAATTTCTTACTCAGTTAAAATATGCTTGTGTGTGAAAATAATGAGTTACCACATGATGAAAGCACACCACACACATGCTACCACATACAGAAATTTAAAAAATTATTTCCTGTAACCATAAGATGCTAAGTAACAATACTTATCTTTAAAACAAAGTTTTATTAAAATTATCATTAATACACAATTAATAAACAGATAAATACATATAAATAAATTAGTACTTTGGCAAGTATGTAACAAATGGGAAAATTTCATTGGAAAATGATCACTTAATGAGATGAGCTAGACTTTTTGTCAAAATAATATCAGGCTTCAGATAAATTCTATCCAATACTTTTAATTTTTATAGATATAAGACAAGTGCTCTTACAAACAAGTAGATGGAGTAGTGAGGGGCTTATGATAATAACGTTACTCTCTTCTAAGAATTCTGTTTAATTATGACATATTGTGTTATCAAAACTTGTACTATATGTTGTAAATCAGCAATCAACTGCATAAGATTATATACTAAGTTTATGAAAACAAAGAATACCACCTGACTATGACTTAGTGAAAAGACGTATCATCCATTAATAAAGTTCCTTATGCTTTCAAAATCTGAAAGGTATGCTGTTTTTAGTTTCTCCCAAGATTAATCAAACACTGTTACTATTATTACTGTTTTTAGCTAAACATACCTGACAAATGTTGGAGGTGATATATATCCCAATTACCCTGGTTTGATCACTACAGATTTTATACAGGTATCAAAATATCAACTGTGTCCTGAAAATATGTAAAATTAATATAAACAAAGTAAAAGGTGAAATAAATATATATATTATAATATATATATTTAAAATATATATAATAATATATAAAATATTACATATAAATTAATATATTATTATAAATTAATATATTAATATAATAATGTATATTTAACTATATAATATAATATATTATTACATATATATTATATTAATTATGTACAATTATATTATGTAATTAAATTATATAATTCTGTAATATGTGTATATATGATGTATATATGTAATTATGTAATTATATGAAATATAATTACATAAATATTAAATAAATATATAATATATGAATATATATTATATAAATATATACATAATGTATATAGGTAATTATGTAGTTATATTAAATATGTACAATTAATATAAATAAAGCAAAAGGTGAAAGGAATATATATTATATATATTTCAAACATATATAAGAATATATTTGAAATATAATATGATATAAATTAATATATTAATATTAATATAAATCAATATATTAATATATTAATATAATACATTTAAATACATATTATATAATATAAAATACATTATTATATTATACATTATATGATATAAAATACATTATTATATTATACATTATATGATATAAAATACATTATTATATTATACATTATGTGATATACAATACATTATTATATTATACATTATGTGATATACAATACATTATATTATACATTATATGATATACAATACATTATTATATTATATATTATATGATATACAATACATTATTATATTATATATTATATGATATACAATACATTATTTTATTATATATTATATGATATACAATACATTATTATATATTATATGATATAAAATACATTATTATATTATATATTATATGATATAAAATACATTATATATTCTATATTATATGATATAAAATACATTATATATTCTATATTATATGATATAAAATACATTATATATTCTATATTATATGATATAAAATACATTATATATTCTATATTATATGATATAAAATACATTATATATTCTATATTATATGATATAAAATACATTATATATTCTATATTATATGATATAAAATACATTATATATTCTATATTATATGATATAAAATACATTATATATTCTATATTATATGATATAAAATACATTATATATTCTATATTATATGATATAAAATACATCATACTCTATATTATATGATATAAAATACATCATACTCTATATTATATGATATAAAATACATCATACTCTATATTATATGATATAAAATACATCATACTCTATATTATATGATATAAAATACATCATACTCTATATTATATGATATAAAATACATCATACTCTATATTATATGATATAAAATACATCATACTCTATATTATATGATATAAAATACATCATACTCTATATTATATGATATAAAATACATCATACTCTATATTATATGATATAAAATACATCATGTTCTATTATATGATATAAAATACATTATATATTATATGATATAAAATACATTATATTATATATTATATAATATATAGTGTCTTTTATATTATCTAATATGTAATATAATGTATTTTATATTATGTATTTTATATTATATAATATATAATATAATGTATTTTATATTATATGTTATATAATATATAGTGCATTATATATTATGTTATATTATATATATTTTATTTATATAAATTATATATTATATGTTATTTTATATATATTATATAACATATAATATAACAATGCATTATATATTATAAAATATATAATACATTACATATATTATATAATATATAATACATTACATATATTATATAATATATAATACATTATCATATATTACAAATATTACATTAGTATAATAGTAATTATAATATAATATATTATATATTACATATATTATATTAATGTAATAGTAATTATAATATAATATATATTATATTTTATATTATAATAACATAGAATTTTAAATATATATTATTATAACATATTTAAAATATATATATATGTATATATTCACATGAAAAGATGGGAAAAAAAACTTATTTACTCCAAAATTCTATGACAGAGTTGCAAATATGAAAACATCATCCTGGTGACTGCTGTAGTGAGGTTCTCGATTTTTCTATAGCTCTTGTGTCTAAGTCTTAGGGTCATCACAGCCTGTAAACCCTCCCTGGGTTTGGCACGTGACCCGCTTTGGCCAACAGGACAATCACAAATGCAACATAAGAGATACCTGAAATGTTCTTTACATGGGGGCACACTCTCATTGCTATCCTGGGAGCCCACTTGACATGTGCCTGAAGCCTAGGCTAGCCTGCTGGGTGAGGAGACACACAGCCCTATCATAGCCAATAACATGGCAGCCTGCTGATTTGCCACGGAGCAGGTGGGTAACCCTCTCAGGGCCAGCCAGGATCAGCCAGCTGGACTGAACGGAGACCTGTCAGCAAGCATAGACAACATAGCCTGCCCCAGCTCAGGTCAGCAAAAGTATCCAGTTCACCAGTCAACTTGTGAGGACCAACAGATGAGTGTTGTTTTAAGCCACTGAAATTGGAGTTGGTTTGTCAACAGTAAACAATAAAATGTTAATCTCACAATCTGTTTGAATATAATAATGTTTAATAAAATGTTGTCATGTGCTGTTCCTGTTATTTCAATTAGTTAAGGCTGTCTTCTATATAACCTACTATATAAAGTTCATTTTCATTTTAATACCAATCAGTGAGATGTTTTATTTTCTATTATAAAAGTCTGATTCCCATTTTTCAATTAAAGTAAATATTTTAGTACATATTACTTAATGCAACTTGTTAGAATAAAATACAAAAAAATCAATAAATTTTCCAGATATTGATTTATGTTTTAAATAACCTCTAAAAACAAAAATAAATTTATATTCAGTTAGTCTTTGCTTTTTTAAATTGGGCAATGTAATGTATGATTACAATTTAAAATTGTTAATAAAGTGAAAAGAATAGTAGAAATACATGATATTCTTTGGTAAATATGTATACATGCATGTGTGCATGTATATGGAATAATTGTGTTCATGTTTTAGAAACTGTTTAATGTGAGATTAAATTTTCAAATTTCACAAATTAGTTCACAGATTTCGTGAAACAACATGATCAAACTTTTCTCATGTATGCCATGTAAAAGAAAAAGAAAAGTTACTAAAAGCTTAATTGGTCCATGACCTAGAATGTGATTTTATTTTTTAATAGGAGGTAGAATATACTAAACATTTTATGCAATGAAGTAAGATGAGGATTGACTATAATTAGAATGAATGTTTCATAATATGATTTGATAAAATAGATTTGAACTACTTTTTTTTGAAGAAGCACATTCATTCTAAAATAGATCATAAAATTGCTATTCATAGCATTTTTTCTCAGCTACATTCAAAAGAATGAGCATGGCCAACCAGTATTGATTACTTCTTTAAAGGTGATTGCCTTTTCTAGGGATGGGTGTTGACAGTAGCTGGAAAAATTCCTTATACTTAAGTATAGGAAAAAGCCATTTAAATGCCAGAATTTTATAAAACTGCCAAATAAAGATATCTCAAAACTTTTTGTGAGAAATTTAAGCTTGTTTCCAGGAACATAATATTTTGTATCAGTTTTTTTTTTTTTAACATACTTCAATGACAGAATAGATTTTATGTTTGAAATAGCAACATCCAATTCCTGACAAACTGCATAATATTAAGGAACATGATAAATATTGCTAGTTGTATAACGATATTATGCACATGTACAAAATGTTCAAATATTGTTGAGCTGCATATTAAAGTGTTGAGGGGTGAAAAAAATTGGATTAGATTTAAGATCTCTTCAAATTCTTGAGGGTCACATTGATGTGAAGATTTGTTCACGTAAGGTGGATATAAAAATAAAATTGAGGCCAGGCACGGTGGCTCACACCTGTAATCCCAGCACTTGGGGAGGACGAGGCGGGTGGCTCACCTGAGGTCAGGAGTTCGAGACCAGTCTGGCCAACATGGCGAAACTCCGTCTCTACTAAAAATACAAAAACTATCCGGGCATGGTGGCGCATGCCTGTGATCCCTGCTTCTCGGGAGGCTGAAACAGGAGAATCGCTTAAGCCCTGGAGGGGTAGGCTGCAGTGAGCTGAGATCGTGTCACTGCACTCCAGCCTGGGTGACAGAGTGAGACTCCATCTCAAATAAAATAAAATAAAATAAAATAAAATAAAATAAAATAAAATAAAATAAAAATAAAATGAATAAAATAAAATCGGAAACCTAAAAAAAAGTTTGCAACAATTCTAATTTTGCAATAATTCATTTTAATGGACAAACGTAATGTTCAATTTTCTTGGTAGTATTGCAAATAGATTTTAAATGTAATCAAACTTTTTTCACCCTTCAACACTTTAATATCCATCTCAACAAAATTAGGACATTTTTTACATGTGCATAATATCATTATACAACCAGCAATGTTTATCATAATTCCTTAATATAATTTAATGCATAGTCCATATTTTTAATATATTTTTTAAACTTTTATTTTAGGTTCAGGGGTACATGTACAGGTTTGTTATTTGGGGAAATTGTGTGTCGCTGGGGTTGGGGGTACCCAGGTAATAAGTATGGTACTCGATAGGGCATTTTTCCATTCTCACTCTCCTCCTACCCTCGCCCTCAAGGAGGCTCAAGGGTCTCTTGTTCTCTTCTTTGTGTCTATGTGTACTCGATGTTTAGCTTTCACTTATAAGTGAGAACAGGTGGTATGTGGTTTTCTGTTCCCGTGTTAGTCACCTCAGTTTAATTCAAAATAGCGTGAAAGCTCTTATTTACAGAACATGCGTGCATTTGTGGAGTGGCCGTCCTGCTGCTGGCTTAGGCACCACCTAAAGAACATGTGGCTGCAGGGGGAAGCATCAGATGCTGAATATGAAGATAGCACATCATGACCACTGCTTGGGGCTGCGCCTGACGGGATCCCCCTTGTGGCCCCCCTGCACTGGCACAGCTGAGCAACTGCACGCTAAGTAAAGTGTCGGTCCCACTTTGGGTACCTCAAGAATAGCTGCATGGCTGCTACATGGTTCCCTTTGCCACAGCAAGCAGCAGTGTGCTCTGCGGCTGCCTGGTAGCACTTCCCTAGATAAGGTCAGAGTGTTGTGGTTGAGTCCCCAGTGCTCCATGTCAGCCACTGAGCTCTAGGCCAGCAGGGATCATATGTACAAACCCCTTGCTCCCGCTCCGGAACCAGCCTCTAAAGCACCTGGGATGCGGCTGCTGGCCATGGAAGCTGCTAGACAGGTGTGGACTGGTGAGCATCTCATGGCACATCTGTGCCCCATCTGCAAGAGCGAGCCATGGGGTCCTGCTTGGAAGCCGTGAGTTAGACTACCTTCCTGTCCATTAGGCCAAACACAAAACTCTTCTGCAGATGAACATTCGATGCCTTCTCTTGGCGTACCAAAATAACATGAAACTCATTTGCCTTCCTGGGTCTGACTCCAGCCATCCTTAATATTTTTGTTTCTTACTCCTTTCCCGCATTATGCTCCAGTCGAATGAAAGGCTTCTTATACCATGTGCTGTCTGATCAATAAAGTATTGTACATATGAATTATTCTGTCTGTATCTTCCTCCCCACTTTCCCTACCTATTGAACTTTGTTCTTATTTAAATTTAGCTAAACTGTGACTTTGGTCATCACTCCACAAATTCTAAAAATATTTTGTATTTTTACAACTCATTGCATATTGTCTTAGATTACACTTTTGTTTTAAACGTATTTTGCTCTTTTTCTGGAGAATCTACGGGAGATTCTGATTGATTTGTGGGCCCCTTAATGCCTGTTGCAAAATACATACTCAGTAAGTAATTATTGAGTATAGATTAAATTGTCATAAAACCGTAAACTAGCTAAATGGGGTACTTGAAAAACATTTATTTTATGTTCTGTCAATTTATATCCCACTTTAAATTGTTTTATCCTACTGAGAAATGGATACAATGTGCTTACTGACACACCTGCATACCTTGTGTAGTATCTGTACTAAGATATTTTCAGAAGCATCTGTCAAGACTCAGGTTTTGATGTTAGTAATATATCAAGTACAAGAGATTTCTTCATGCTTTCTTCATAATCTTTCACCATATTCTGTAAGGCACCATTTATAGAAAATCTATTTCCCTCAAAGAAGAAAATCTCTACCAGGAACTTATATATGAGTACAACATAAATAATGCATTCATTTCAATAACAGCATAACTATTATTATTATGAATGGTTAAGTCCTGCCTCAACTATTTACTAAATAGCTAACCTTCATTTTTATATACTTTTTTCTGAATCTCAGATTCTTCATACATTGTAGTTGATTAATCACAGCAAACAGGACAGATGCTTATCTTTATGAGCAAATAAAGCTGAACATTTTTGTTTTAGATGACACCCCCAGGTCATAGGGTAATAGTGAGAATTAAATTTAAAAATGGTGTTTGTGCATGTGTGAGTGTGTGTGTATGTGTGTGTGTGTGTGCTTTGTTGGTTATCTACCAGGCACTAAAAATGTTACTACATTTTTCTCTTTCTGACATAAGCGAGATGTGACATTTCTCTTAAAAACATGTTACTCTTTCTGATGTTCAGCTATTTTTGTACTTGTACCTTTTATCATCACACAAGATGCCCAAGAAAATTTGAATATAACGTTTTCCAGTAAAATCAACTTTTCAACCTCTAAAAGTTATTTTTGTGTGTGTGGAGGTACACTCAACAGTAAGTGTATTAGGGAAAAGGGTTGCGAGGGTGTGTGTGTGTATGCGTGTGTTTTAAGAAGCAAACCATTTTAACCTCTTGACCTACTTGTAGGGGTTCTGGGGTTTTAAAAGTATTTTCTCATCAGACCTGATAGGGAATATGTGAGAAGCACGCCCATGTGGGTTGTAGCCATCCTTGCCAGGTTATGAATATAGACTGAATTGATTTCTCCTGATGGCTGTTCCTTCAACTAGGAGAGAATAGGAAGGATGTTTGTCAGAGTCCGAGGTTTGGCCTCTCTTGCTTTGTGGCAAGCAGAGACCCTATAGGGTCCAGGAGCTAAAAACATTTGACAGGAATGAGATAAAACATTTGGTAAAGTGGTGTTTCTTGCACATTATGAAAATTGGACCAGTGATGTGCTGCTCCACCTTAAAAAGGAGAAAAGTAGCAGATTTAAAGGGAGAGGTTACTTCCAGAATGGAGTTCCCTAAGTAATTTCTGCTGTGCACGGGAACAGAGCACCAGAGTGTGGGTGAACTACCTTTCCTAAGACGCCTTCACTCATGCTGTCCAGCATCCCATGCACATGTGTATATGCTCTCCTGCATGCATGTGCATGTATGTGTCTATTGACATTTGTTATATTCTTAATAACTAAAAAATAAGTCACTATCACATATCTGTAACTGAAAATGCTGAAAACGTTACTGATTTTTACTTATTATAGGATATTTGACACATATTTTCAAATATTGATCATTAGTTAGAAGTATTTGAAAATTTAAATATTAAACCTGTATCAGAAATTTGTGTTTTACCCTGAATTATTTTAGCTATTTCATTTAACTTTGTTTCTCATACCTCTTTTTAAGTAAGTAAACTCCTTCTAATTTAAGATCTTCAGATCTGAGTTGAAATTTTTGGATTTTCCTTGGCTAATTAAGATCAGCAAGACATAAATAAGGTTTCAGTTTTTAAAAAATGTTGTGAAACAGAGTGTTTTACTATTTAAAGTTCATCCTAAGAAAGGCAAAGTTTAGTTTTCTTTATTGAACAACCTTAGTAGTCATGCTGTGTACAATTGACTCAGGTTTATTGTGAGAAAGTCATGGCATATAGATTGTGGTGGTGTTCATCTTGAAGCAGGTACTTCATCTTATTTATTTGGACTCCATACTGTCCAGCACCGTGCTTCCTATCTAGGATAAGCTTCCTAGCCTTTTGGTAACTTATACATGAATAAATAAAAATATTCTTAATGTATGTTTATTCAAAAATGTCCATTTCTTGAACTCAAAGATCATTTCAGTATACCTTCTTTCTCAATTAAGTTAACTGTCTACAGTGGTGGGATGAGGAGCTCTGAGTGCTGACATGTCATAGGGATTGGCACCTCCCCAAATTGACAGGAATAAGAAGAACCTGGAGGCTGGGAAACAAACTTTAAGACTGAATAAATAGTACACATCCTGACCAAGGCTGAGGCAGAGAGGAGGACCAGGAGCTGTCAGATTAAAGGAGATCTCAGAGGCAGAACCAACTAGTTCGGTTCCATGCCATGGATAAGAACATGGGAGATGAGGATGCATTCAGTCTTGGGTGATGCCGTCAGCACTGTTAACTGAGATAAAGTCTATTTAATCCCCATTGCAGGTGAAAATCTAGATCTGTGGAAAATAAGGATGGTGAGTATGATTTAAACAATTTAGGGAGACTCCAGAAGACATGAATTTATGGGAGATCCAAGAAACTGCCTTCAAGGCAACTAGAATTATGGATTTTAACTTGGAAGAGAAATTAGGGATAGACATTTTACAGTTATCAACTGAAAGCCTGAGAATATGTAAATCCAACATTTTCATTTTTGGTTTTGTTGAAAGCGTCTCAGGTTGGTCGTGCTTTGAGTTGTCACACTCTATGTGTCCCCTCCACACTAGTGTATTCTCCTGGGCTGGTTATTTTTAATGAACTCCTATTGCTGAAGTTCTGGGTCCTCCCACATGGTCCAACCTCGCAGGTGTCCTAAGGAACTCCTAATGAGATTGGGTGAGGTCCGTGGGCAGCTCTAGGTATACAGTCAGTTTGCCTTCTCTCTTTGCTTTCCACCTCTGTAGTTACTGGATTTTTTTTTTTTTCTGTTAATTCTC
Source organism: Homo sapiens (assembly GCF_000001405.40). Lineage (NCBI taxonomy): Eukaryota > Metazoa > Chordata > Mammalia > Primates > Hominidae > Homo > Homo sapiens. The sequence goes on from NC_000002.12 coordinate 4,276,596, forward strand.
CCAAACACAGCTCATCTTATTCCCTTCTTTAGGAAACCTTCCCAACCTTCTGGTAGAGTTAGCTACTCCTGTTAGTTCTCAGAGTATACATACCAGCCTCTTCTCTCCTTCTCTCTGGCAGGAGTCAAAGAGGAAGAGGAGCCCCTGCAGAAGCCAGTCTTGATCTGAGCAGTTCAGGCTCCTCAGCTTTTCCAATGGGCACTAGACCAGGGTTTTTTTTTTTTTTTTTTTTCCAGAGCTGGGTTCCCAGGGCTTCAGTGCTACACAGGGCATGATGCATCACCTAGGCTGATGCACTGCCGTTAGCAGGTCTGCAGGATGCACCCTCCCATCTCAGCTCACATTAACCCTCCAATAGCAAACTCAGCCCTTTCCCCTCCAGGAGTTCTTGCTCTGTCATATAAGTCCCGCTCCCTCCTCCTGCTCAGGCCCTCTCCCAAGGGCACCAAGTGGGCCATGGATGACTCCGCCTGCAATTGCCAATTCCCACATGTGCTTGTGAGGTTTTTCTTTAAAATGACGTTAGAAAATTGTAAGTGTCCATTGCAAAGACACCTGGGAGTGGACTCTGCTCATTTCAGATCAGTCAAACCCTCTGCATGTTGTCATCACATTGTACCTTTGTTCTTGTCACGGTCTCTCTGTAGTTCTAAGAATTCAGGAAACCTTTTTGTCTTTATCTTTCTCTCCACACTTCTCCAACCTGAACTTTGTCTCTTGGACTTTCTTCTTCATGCTGTTATTCCCACTAGGTTTTCTTTTCCTCTAAAGTGGACTCTCCCTCTGCGTTGCTCCATTACTCAATCATGGGTGTCAGTGCTCATGCCACTTTATACAGGCCCATCATGGCCTATTCTAATTGCCCTGCTTCCAGGTAAGTGTGCCTGCAGCTCTTTTGGAGCACTATGTCTTGCATCTTGCAATCTTACAGCTAGGGAATCTTGGTGTAAACTAAGTTGCTCAATAAATGTTTGTTGAATGAATCCCAGATTGTATATAGTAAATGTTCTTTTATCTCTCAAACCTAAAGTACAGCAGTTGAGTACAAAATATTTTTTTGAAATGGTCTAAAAAACTCTCTTCATGTTCAATGTTTTCAACATTTATGTAATTTAACATGTATGTAATAAATGTTAAAAACATTGAATAGTTTGCTGAGAATGATGGTTTCCAGCTTCATCCATGTCCCTACAAAGGACATGAACTCATCCTTTTTTATGGCTACATAGTATTCCATGAACAATGAGAACACATGGACACAGGAAGGGGAACATCACACACCGGGGACTGTTGTGGGGTGGGGGGAGTGGGGAGGGATAGCATTGGGAGATATACCTAATGCTAAATGACGAGTTAATGGGTGCAGCACACAAACATGGCACATGTATACATATGTAACAAACCTGCACGTTGTGCACATGTACCCTAAAACTTAAAGTATAATAATAAAAAAAAACATTGAATAGAAAAGTAGATGGAATGCCTTGTTTTTTAAATTGTCTACATTTTGACATTCTCTCATAAATGATTCCAAACTGCTCCCAAATATACATGTCTCCTTTCATTCAATTAACTTTACTTTCAACTACTCCTAATAACAATAACTAACTGTCTATTTTTGTGGTAATTTGCTTTTTGCTGCCGCCTGCAAGTCAGTTTCAGTTATCCTTGGACCTTTGTTTTCCATCTTAAGTAGGAAACTCCTAGGAAAGTGGTGTCCAGTAGAACTTTCTGGGGTGAGGGGAGCGTTCTCACCTGAGCTGTCTGTTCGAGGAGCTACTGGCCTCGTGTGGCTCTAGAACACTTGAAATGTGGCCAATCGCCTGAGATGTGGCTGAGAAACTGCATGTTTATTTTTATTTCCTTGTAATTAAAATAGGAATTTAAATAGCCACGTGGCTAGTGTTGGCCATATGGGACAGCAGTTCTAGGAGGCAGTGGTGCCTTGGCCACTCACGGTGAAAGCACAGTGCTGACAGTGACGTCATCAAGTACCGCAACCTCGTATGTTCCCTCACATGTGCCTCTGTTTATCCTCCAAGAAACTGGGCCTTTGTAAAGAAATAGCTTTATTTGACTTTTTGAATTCACACAAAGATAACTTATTTTCAATTTCTGACAATTTTGCGGTCACTCTTGTATCCTGATGACAGAGTAAGTGACCATAAATAATTCATAGCATAAAGGCCAAGTAATTCTATTTAAATTTTTAAGCCTAAAAATCAGATTAAAAATTCAGTAGGTGATCTTTGGTGTTATTTCATTTTAAGTTGTGATTTGATGTTTTATCAGTAACTTTTTCTGGATTTATCAACAACACAGTCATTAGAAAGTCTTTTTAAAAATGCATTCCAGGCCAGGCGCGGTGGCTATGCCTGTAATCCCAGCAGTTTGGGAGGCTGAGATGGCAGATCACCTGAGGTCAGGAGTTCAAGACCAGCCTGGCCAACATGTTGAAACCCCATCTCTGCTAAAAATACAAAAATTAGCTGGACATGGTTGCGGGTACCTGTAATCCCAGCTACTTGGGAGGCTGTGGCAATAGAATCGCTTGAACCCGGGAAGCAGAGTTTGCAGTGAGCCAAGACCATGCCATTGTACTCCTCCAGCCTGGACAACAAGAGTGAAACTCCGTCTCAAAAAAAAAAAAAAAAAAAAAAAAAAAAAAAAGCATTCCAGTATCTATCACCAAGTTTATATTTTTTAGTTAATAATTTTTCCTCTAGTTTTCTGACTTCTTAAAGATTAAAATAAAATTTATTTAATTTTTCCTGACCTGACACTTCCTGGCAATCATCTACGTGGCAAGCAAAATCATAGAGACAGGGCAGACGTATGCAGTGTGAAGATGTCTTCATTTATTCTCTGTTATAAAATCAGGAATAAATTACATGAGGGCAACACGCTTTTATTATCATGTTCAAAACCCAAATGGATAATGCTAGGTTGCTATAAAGTCGAGGATCACTATCTGTCTCATTTTTAACACAGACATTTTGCTTTTAATGATGTGTTAATGGGAGGAAACATGAATGCCATTCGTGTTATTCTTTGTTCTGGCTGAGGAATAACTGATATTATCTAATGAATATGCAAATAACTCAAGGCCCCTTATTAATTGTGTCTAAACCATCTGTTCCAGAAAAGAGCACTTGTATATCTGCCACATAACGCTATATGAATGCGTGCAGAGAACTGTTTAAGAAACTTGGAGAAGTTAATCTATATATTTTAATGAATCTATGGTTTCACCAGCATCAGTAAATGAGGCAGCTTTCCTAAAATGAAATTAGTTGTTCCAATGAGATTATATGGGATTGAAATTTCACAAGAAAAATGCCAAGAAGAATATTAGTGTTTTAAAGTACCTAAACCACAAATTTTGGAATCCCAAGGTTTTTTAATAGAACCCAATTTATGTGGACTTAATCCACAAAATTCAGTTCTGAGATAGGCATACATTGCCTGATGTATATACACGATTAGTGTAACATACTCATATTTATTCAGGGAACTTACAATACGAATTGTTTTTCTGCTGGTATCTTATAAAAGGTAAATAACAGCTTTGAAAACATTTTTAAGGAAACATGAGATAAAATAGAAATCTTATGCCAGATGTAAAGCACTTCTATAATTAAATTGCAAACAGTAAAAATGAATTGGAAATAAGTTTACTTCTATTTTTGCCTCACTTCTCTTCAAATTATAATTATTTAACCTCATTTTAGATGGTGGCAGACTGTTTTTCATAAATTCTGCTCCACAATTCAATTTGACTACATGGCTATCATAATTAAGTACAGAATTGTTATTTTTTTGTCTCCAGGAGTAAACAATAGGCGAAACAGGAAACAGTGTTTTACTTTATGTGTATCTCATTGTAAAGACACATGTTTTTCACCTCTTTGGATTACAGTCTATAACTCAAATATGATTTTATTTTATAAATAAGTCTGGCACTCATTTATATCCTAACTAATGGGCACTTTAACAAGTTTTTAAAAATCTCAAGTCAAAATTCTTTGCATAAGTAAACAAAGCATTGAACTTGTGATTTGTACTTGAAACAAAATAAAAAGTATTAATTTGATAAGATTTCTTCCCCACCGAATACAGCTTTGGCCAAGGTCTAGATTCAGGAACAAACTAATAACTTTTAAGTATAGAAAGTCAATTCTTTCCTAATACAAAGCTGAAAATTATTTTGGGGGTATTTCTTCAGGATTATGTAATACAGTCACATAATTATGGTGATATATTCATTACCACCCAAACTAATCTCTTAACAATTATAAAAATATTGTGCCCCTGTGTACACACACATACAAAGAGACAATAATCATCTCTTTGGTGTTTATATTCAATCTTAGTACAATTAAATAGCATCTTTTTATAAAGTGTGGAGAAAGCAAACTTGGGACTCTGTTTCTAGGCTGTGTACAACCACAAGTTATGTGTGAGGTTTCTGGATGTCACAAAGTTTTTGTTAGTAGAAACAAAGTAATAACAATTGCCACAGCCCACAGTGTGTGGTATGCTCAAAGAGCCAAGCAGAAAGTACAAAGAATAACTTTGAAAATTCAATATTTTCATATCCATGGAAGGTAGTATTTTAAAAATCACTAAAATATATATTAAATACATGCCCTAATGTTAGAATGCTCACTTTAAGCAATCTATGATATAAATATGTTTTCTCTGCATGTAACCTGACACAAGCAGTCGCTATTAATGACCCTACTTTCTCCATTTGCAACATCTTGGGAACAGGAAGAATAGAAAGACATCTAATGTAATATGAAGATTATAGTTAATAATATTATATTATATACTGAAGATATGATAAGACAGTAGATTTTTAGTGCTTTTACTGAACACACAGTAAAGCAAGCTATGTGAGATGACAGATGTGTTGATTTGCTTGACAATGGTAACCATTTTAGTATGTATACCTACTATGTCAAAATAGCATGTTGTATGCCTTAAACATATACAATAAATAGTTAATTAAAACACCTTTAAATATGAATCAATTTTCTGTTTACCTTTCTAGAAATACATTGGGCTTTTACAACTTCTATTAGATAAAACTTTCCCGTGATATGTAGTATCCCTAAATGCTCCAGAAACGTGTAAGATTGTTTGCTTTAGAATACACTTTATTGGTCAAATTTTTGAGAAATCGAGTCGTAACAATGTTGTGGTTTCTCTCATTTTTCCAGCAATACCAACATTGGCCAGTATACGATGTTAACGTGTATGCTTAATGAGCCAGTGGCTTCATTTATATTACACTTGCATCATGCTTTTAAAGTGCCATATTGTTTAGTTAGTTAATTCAGAGGCAGGCATGGTTCTTTGCTATTTCTTGTTAATGACTCCCATTGCACCAATCTTTTTGGCTTCTCAATTATATTATGAAATTGATTTTTTAAAGTTGTTTTAGATATTCATTGTATTTTCTATTATTGAATTTCTCCAACTAGTAGTATAAATGTGGGCCTTTACAACTTTTCTTTTTTTTTTTTTGAGACACAGTCTCTGTCACCCAGGTTGGAGTGCAGTGGCGTGATCTTGGCTCACTGCAACCTCTACCTCCCGGTTCAAGCGATTCTCGTCGTGGGCCATTATATCTTACTAAGTCCCTACATGTTCTCTCTTTTTTCTAATTCCATAGTCTCTGTCCATGATTTCGTTACTTCTTGCCAGTTAAGTACTTCTCTAATGGTTTCCTATTAGATCTCCCTGTTCCTATTCCATACCTCCTTCAGTCTCTCCTAAACAGCACACACTGCTTTTCTCTCAATCAATATGATTTCCATCTCTAAAAGTCTTCCAGAGATTCCCATTGCATACAGACTTTTCTTTTTTTTTTTCTTTTTTTTGAGACAGAGTCTCTCTGTTGTCCAGGCTGGAGTGCAGTGGTGCAATCTCAGCTCACTGCAACCTCTGCCGCCTGGGTTCAAGCGATTCTCCTGCCTCAGCCTCCCGAGCAGCTGGGATTACAGGTGCCTGCCACTGTGCCCGGCTAATTTTTGTAGTTTTAGTAGAGACGGGGTTTCACCATGTTGGCCAGGCTGGTCTTGAACTCCTGACCTCGTGATCCACCTGCCTTGGCCTCCCAAAGTGCTGGGATTGCAGGCATGAGCCACCGCGCCACATAAAGACTTCTTTACCTTGATTTTGGTATCTTTCACTCTACGATTCTTACCTGCTCAAGAAAAAAAGAGGCTGAAAATGAGACTTCCCGGCATTCTTCAGATCACTGTCACTCTTCGCTCTCTGCCCTCCTCCGTGCTTTTGTTTGTGTTTTCTCTGTCAGTTTTCCCACTGCCTGTCTGCAGTTTGGGGCATACCAAAATGTCCCTATTTTTTCACATTTCAAAGTTCTTTTTTTTAACTTGTGTTTGAGTTTTCTCCCTCATGTGGTGTCTTATTTCCATCTTAGTTCTTATTCCCCTCTTAATCCCCTCACTGTGATGGGATTACTCATTGCAGCTTACACATTGTCTTGCACAAAATAGATGCTAGGAAAACTTCTTGAATTGAATTAACTGGCCACTATTTTTATAATTAAAAAAGTAAAAGAATAACTAATTTTTTTCAGTTTTCCAAGTATGACCTCTATTTCATACCTATGTATCTTCTGAACTCAGAGTATAAATGTAAATATTACTTTTCAGCTAAATATAAATAAAAATACTACCTTTCAGCTATACTAGGTGGTCTCTTCAAGCAAAAGCATGCAATGAAAGCTGTTGAAACTCCTTCAGATATACATTGGATCCAGGTTGCCCTGTGTCTATAATATTGGTGATCACTATTTCGCACGCCATAGTGTCAGAAAGTGTGCTTTTCATTCCCTAGATCTTGTTTCTACAGCTACCCCCTACAAGGTAGCTTATTGCCTCTATTTTGCAAATAATAACTTTGATGCTCAGGAAGGTTGAGCAATTCCAGAAAGCTATAGAAACCCAAGATAAAATGGCAGAATGTTTATTTTGTTTGTGCTATTCATAGTTCTGTTTTGGCTGTTGAATGCTCTCTGTCGGGAAGGCCTCCAAACACTGACTGTCTCAGGGAGCACTCATGCAGACTCTGCAGAGATCCCCTCTAAGACCTCCACACTGCATCTTTCTCTGATTTAGGCAAAGTTCATTCTGCTGACCTCTTGCAAACTCCCATCAGTTCCTGCCCCTGGCAGTATATCCCTGGTGTCTCCTTCCCTTGCATGGCCTCCCTGTTGGAAATGTTTTCTTCAAGCTACTGAAACCTAGCTTTGTTCTGTGGTGCACCCTCAGGTCTTGGAAAGCTGACACATTCTTTTCCTGAGAGGCACAGGCTGTTCTCATTTGCTTCCTCACTCTGGCATTGTGGGCTGCTCCAGCAAGCCCCGCATTCTGAGGCTTCGTTGGGTGAGGAGCAGACACCAGTGTTTGTGCCTCTAAACTTCAGAGGACAGATGTTAATTTCTGCTGAGAATTTCCTTATGCAGTACTGGGTGCAGCTATAAATTTCTACAGCTCTGCCAAGGATTTATGTTAATAGAAGCCATCGCTTAACATCTTGGGTCTCAACTTAGCTTTAAAATAGGGAAGATAAAATCCACTTCATAAAGTGGTAAAGTTTGAATCAACTCACGTAAAGTACTTAGAACAGCATCAGAAACACGGTAAGCATTTAAAATGTATTATTATGAGTGTTAGTGTTTGTCTGAGGTCTCTTGAGGGTCTCATTTGGACAGAAGGGGCAAGTACCTCCTTCCCGTTCACCTGCAAGATAGCATTCTCGATTACTACAAATTTCCTTCAAATAAATTTCCCCAGTAAAATGCTAGCCTTTGTTTTTATAATGTAAACTCCTGAGAATTGTGTTTGCTGGTTCAGTGTGGCTACCTTTTAACACATCCTCTAGGCTTGTACACAATTCCTCTCTAAAACAGGGGCCACTTACTGTCAATAACTCTCAAGACCTTTGAGGTCTTAGCTGAAACTCCAGAACACTGGGAAGGATTCTCTGCACATTGTTTTATAAGGAGAAACACAACTTCTCCTCTAGAGGAGCCCGAGCAGGAGTGACATGAGTTAGAGAGGCACTAGCATCTGTGCCAATTTTCCAGTAAAACTCTAATGGCAATGAGATGTTCACTCTTCTTATTTTCTGGATTACTTCCTTTCTCTAAATTTATGTTAATGTGTATATTTATGGAAATATGAAAGAATGGGGCCATTCTCTAAATAATGTATGCAAGGTTCTCAATGAAAATGAGATGTCTGTAAAAGTTTACTATTTGCCAATAAAACACGATATTGAATCAAGTAATGAATATGTTAACTAATCACAAGGAAATCATTAATTTTATTGTGTTTTACTATTGAGCAATATTGGAAAAATATTTGAGCTGGCATGGAAGGCAGAATTATAGAGCCCCAGAGATGTTCACACCTCCATCCCTGAAACTAGTGAACATGTTACCTTATGTAAAGAAAGGAATTTTGCAGATAGAGTAAGATTATGGCCTCAAGATAGGTAGGGGAGCCGGATAATCCAGGTGAACCCAATAAAATAACATGAGCTCTTAAACAAAACCTTTCCCAGCTGAGGTTAGGATCAGAAGTTGTGACGATGAAAGAGTGGTCAGAGAGATGCAGTGGTGCTGGCTTTGAAGATGAAGGAGGGCCATGAGCCAAGGAATGTGGGTGGCATCTAGAGATTGGAAAGGGCAAATAAGCGGACTGTCCCCTAGAATTTCCAGAAAGATATGCAGCCCTGCTGATACTGTCTTTGTATCCCAGTGAGACCCATGTGGGACTTCTAACTTACAGAACTATAAGAAAATAAGTTTTCATTAAGTCAAGTTTGTGGTAATTTGTTATATTAGCAATATAAAAGTTATCCAGTACCCAAGGCCATGGGAACTCACCTCTTGCATCACTATGACCTGAATGTGAGACATGGAGTCAAAGGAGATCATTTTTTGGACTTTAAGGTTTAATGACTGCCCTATTGGATTTTGAACTTGTGTGGGGCCTGTAGCCCCTTTGTTTTGGCCAATTTCTCCCATTTGGAATGGCTGTATTTACCCAATGCTTGTATCCCCATTGTATCTAGGAAGTAACTAACTGGCTTTTGATTTTACAGGCTCCTAGGTAGAAGACTTGCTTGTCTCAGATAAGACTTTGTGTTTGGACTTTTGGGTTAATGCTGGAATGCATTAAGACTTTGAGAGATTGTTGGAAGGACATGATTGTATTTTGAAATGTGAGGACATGAGATTTGGGAGAGGCCAGTGCTGGAATGATATGGTTTGCCTGTGTCCCCGCCCAAATCTCATCTTGAATTTTAGTTCCCATAATCCCTACGTGTTGTGGCAGGGACCAGGTGGAAATAATTGAACCATGAGGGCGGTTTCCCCCATCCTGTTCTCATGATAGTGATTAGTTCTCAGGAGATCCGATGGCTTTTAAGGGGCTTCCCCTTTCACCGGGAACTCATGCTTCTCTTACCTGCTGCCATTCAAGACGTGACTTTGTTTCTCCTTGACCTTCCACCATGATTGTGAGGCCTCCCCAGCCATGTGGAACTGTGAGTCCGTTAAAACCCTTTTTCTTTATAAATTACCCAGTCTTGGGTATGTCTTTGTTAGCAGCCCGAGAGCATCCAGCTTTTGATGCCCAGAAGCAAGGTACTGCTGTGGAAAATTCCAAAATCAGGGAGGTAAATTTGCTATTGGCCAATGGGCAAAGGCTGAAAGAATTTTGAGTAGAATAATAAAAACAGCTTAGATTGTCTTAAACAGACTGTTCGCAGAAAGAGGCACTGTAATGATTCTGATAGTGAGGACTCAGAAGGAAGTGAGGAGCATGTAGAGAAAACCTAATTCATATTAAAGAATACCAAAATCATCATTAATAGATGACTGGTAGAAATATAGACATTAAAATCACTGTTGCTGAGAGCTCAGGAGGAAAAGAAGAAACATGTAAGTGGAAACTGGAGGAGAGGGAATCATTGCCACATACATGGCAGAAAGCTTAGTGGGGTTATGTCCTGTAATTGTGCAGTAAACAGAACTTTTAAATGATGAAATCGGACCGTTAGTGGAGGTGATTTCCAAGCATAGTGTTGAAGGTGGAAACAGTTTTTTGTTTTTGTTTTCTGCTTACAGTAAAATGTGAGAAGAAAGTGATAAATTAGGGAAGAGCTATAAAATAAAATTGGTCCAGGAGTTTATAATTTGAGGAATTCTCAGCCTATCTAGAGTGTTCAGTCATAAGCGTCAGGCTCTTAGAAGAGGTTAATTTTGTGAGTAAAAAATCCTCTTAATGAGACCAGAGAACATCTAGGAAACTTAAGGATATTGCAATCCAGCCTTCTCAGCTGAAGCCAAAACTAGAAACTAGAGAGATCTGGGAATGAGCCTCTTATATAAATGGAGTGAATTCCGTATCATACACAGAAAACCCACAAGATGGTTCAGAAACTTATATCGGCAGAAACATTAACTAACAGAGTCTAATTGACATGTATAGAACACTCTGGCCAATAGCTGCGTATTATTTTCCAGTGCTCAACAAATGTTCACCAAGACAGACAATGTCCAAATTTCTGTTAACTTGTCTGACAATTTTTAAACAAGCATGTTGAGAACTCTGACTGTGGCTTTGCTCATTTTTCCTTGAACTTCTATAAGCTTTTACTTCATGTATTTTGAAGCCCTGGTATCAGTCATACAAACATTTAAAAGTTTTATATTCTCCAGATGATATGACTTCTTTTTCATTAGGAAATGACTTTATTTATGCAAAGTAATAGTGTTGGTTCAGAAGTCTTCTTTGTCTGATGTCATATAGCCACACCAGCTTCTTTTGAATAGTATTTTCATGATATAGCTTGTATTCGTCATTTTAATGTTAGTCTATTTTCCTTTATATCTAAAATGTGTTTTCCTTTTCTGTGTTGTGGCCTGGAAGCTTTTGATCAGGTGGGAAACTGAGGCAATCCTAGGGCTCATCCTCCTTGCTTCTCCTCTCTCAATGATCACTGTCCTCCATTGCTTGATGTCTAATATCTTAAAACAATTGCTTCACATATGTTGTCCAGTATTTTTAAGTTCTTTTCAATAATAAGAGTAAATTAGATCCTTATTATTACATTCTAACCAGAAATTAAATATGATTGCTCATATGCCACATCAATTCATTTCCTGGGCATCTGATCACGTGAAGTTAAAACTGTGGTCACAGGTGGACCTATACGCAAATGTTTACAGCAGCTTTATTTGTGAACATCACATTTTGGAAATGTCTTTCAACTAGGAAATACATAAAGAAAGTATAGTACATTCATAAAATACTATTCAGTAATAAAAAACAACCACATGGATAAATCTCACATGCAATGTATTGAGTAAAAGATATTTTTATGAGACTAACACAGAAGGCTACATATTATGTAATTCATATTACACCTTGAAAAAGAAAAAACCTAGAGACAAAGCATTTCAGTAGTTGCCTGGGTCTGGGAGTAAGTAAGGCATTTCACTGTAGACTAGTATTGGGTAACTCTTTGGGGCATTGGAACAAATATATATCTTGATTATATTACTATATTAATTTGTCAAAACTCATAGAGCAATATACACCAAAAAATCATACCACAGTCTAAAAAATGGATAAAAAGCATTATGACAAACACTGTAAAATAGATATAAAGAGTAAAACAGAAATTCTAAGCAAGACAAATTAAAAAACACAATCAGCATTGTATTAGAGGCCATGAAGTCAGTGAGAACCCAAAGAAGAAATTGTGATGTTATTAGAGATATATGATCAATTTTCATATGCTCTACCTCCTGCCCCTGAAATTAAAAAAAAAACATTTATGGCAGGGTGTGGTGGCTCACGCCTGTAATCCCAACACTTTGGGAAGTCAAAGCAGGTAGATCACTTAAGGTCAGGAGTTTGAGACTGGTCTGGCCAACATGGTGAAAACCTGACTCTACTAAAAATAAAAAATTAACCAGTCTTGGTGGTATGCACCTGTAATCTCAGCTACTCAGGAGGCTGAGGCAGGAGAAGCACTTGAACCTGGGAGGTGGATGTTGCAGTGAGTCAAGATCGTGCCACTCCACTCTAGCCTGGGTGACAGAGAGAGACTGTCTAAAAAAACAAACAAAAACTATGAGTTTATTCACTTTTAATGGTAAATTATTTCAAACATAAATGAAACACAAATACCTAAAGCTGGGTAATTTATAAAGAAAGAGGTTGAATTTGGCTCACAGTTCCACAGGCTGTACAGGAAGCATGGTTGGGGAAACCTCAGGAAGCAGGATCATGGCGGAAGGCAAAGGGAAAGCCGGCACATCACTCATGGAAGGGGCAGTTCAATTGAGGTTTTAGATGTTCCAAAATAACAAAATGTTTGGAGCATTAAAATGTCTTTTGCTAAGTATTCCAGGCACTATTATGCTTTAAATTTAGTCCTTAAAACGACCTTAGTAAGTAGGGGTGCAGTAGATGTAAACATCTTACAGATGAAAAGAGGCTAAACAACATTGGTTACACATCAAATAAGTGAATGGAAGAAAAATAATTGGAAAATAACTTATTCTAGAAAGAACACATATGACAGCAAAACAAGAAAAATATCATTTAAGAAAATAATAGACAAATTTTATTTATGAATATGAATCAATAATTTGAAAACACTACCAAATATAATTCAAGAGTACACAGATACAATAACTAAGACCAGTTATGTAGACATGAAGAATGTGAAAAACATGACTATAAGAAATATAGTTTCATCAATATAATACATATAATACGCCAATAAGTCAATTAAGAATAGTTGAATGCTTATAGGTATTGAGAAGGATTTCCATGGAGTTCAAAACTCATTGCTTATCTTATTAGTAAATGAAAGTATTCTTTATTAAGATAAAACATATCTATTTCAAAGTGATACTTAATTGTGCATAACCTTGATGTGATTGGGGAGAACAAACTCAGAATCAGGTTGCATAAGTAACCATTGTTACTTAACTTTGATCTGGAAATGCTGGCCAGTTTTTCAAAGGCTTTAAAAATGTCCTTACCTATTGACTCACTTACTGTACTTCCAGAAGGAAGTTTATCCAAAGGAAAGTATCCCAAATTAAGAAACAAAAGGAATGCTTTTACACTGTTGGTGGGAGTGTAAATTAGTTCAACCATTGTGGAAGACAGTGTGGCAATTCCTCAAGGATCTAGAACCAGAAATACCATTTGACCCAGCAATCCCATTACTGGGTATATACCCAAAGGATTATAAATCATTCTACTATAGATACATGCACACATATGTTTATTGCAGCACTATTTACAATAGCAAAGACTTGAAGCCAACACAAATACCTATCAATGATTCACTGGATAAAGAAAATGTGGCACATATACACCATGGAATACTATGCAGCCATAAAAAATAAGTTCATGTCCTTTGCAGGGACATGGATGAAGCTGGAAACCATTATTCTCAGCAAAGTAACAGAAGAACAGAAAATCAAACACCACATGTTCTCACTCATAAGTGGGAGCTGAACAATGAGAACACATTGACACAGGGAGGGGAACATCACACACTGGGGCCTGTCTGGGGGTGAGGGGCAATGGGAGGGAGAGCATCAGGACAAATACCTAATGCATGTGGGGCTTAAAACTTAGATGATGGGTTGATAAGTGCAGCAAACCACCATGGCACATGTATACCTATGTAACAAACCTGCACGTTCTGTACATGTAACCCAGAACTTAAACTAATATATATATATATATATATATATATATATAAAATAAAAAAAATGCCATTACCTGTTGATTCACTTATTGCACTTCCAGAAGGAAGCTTATCCAAAGGAAATTATCTCAAATTAAGAAATAAAGTTGAGCAAGCCATCAGCATTAAAGTCTCTTATCACTCTGATCCCAGTCCACTTTGCATATTGCATTCAAATTATTTGTTTTAATGGTTGTCTCCCTACTGGTGGCGAGCTCAGTAAGGGTAAGAATCATTACCTATATATCGCCAGTGAAAGTGGTCACCTATCACACTTTTTGACATAAGTATTGGGCAAAAACATAAATGTTAAACAATGCAATATTATTTATGCATAATAATGCATAATAACCCTGAACATGACTAAATTATCCAAATATTGGAAACATTATATAAACTACAGTGCATCTATTTTTTTTAAATATTGAGGCTGTTAAAATTACATTTACAACAAATTACTAGTTGATAAAATGTACTAAATAGGCATGTGATATATGTGATATGTTTGTAACTGAAAACTGGGTGAAAAGACATGGAAGTGTTAATGGTGGTTGCAATTGTTTGTTGTAATAGGGTACCTTATTTTTTCTAATTCTCTATGCTTTCTAACTATACTTTAATGAAGATATTTGCATTGTTTAGATAGGGAAAGAATAAACATTCTAAAATAAAAATAGCAATTTATGTCTTTTCTTATTTGCTCTTTAAATACTGCATATGACAAACAGATTAAAGAAACAGTTTCTCTCTACAATTAAAACACAACATTGTTAGTATATGTGAATGTCTAAGACATGGGTAATTTGCTGCATTAACTAAAAGAAATTTAACATATGGTGTAATTTTGAGACTATAACAAAAAATATGAAATATTGGTAGAATAAAGAAGTTGATTATATACATGTAAAAAAGCAATGGACATATAACTATTAATTTATAAAATGAATAAAAGATATGCATATTAAAATATGTGAATAGAATACTTAGATTTATAGCTGATATGGTTTGGATTTGTGTGCCCACCCAAATCTCATGTTGAATTCTAATCCCCAATGTTGGAGGTAGGGCCTGGTAGGAGATGATTGGATCATGGGGGCCGATTTCCCCCTTGCTGTTATTGTGACAGTGAGTGGGTTCTTACAAGATCTGGTTGTTTAAAAGTGTGTGGCCCCTCCCCCTTCTCTCTGTTCCTCCTGCTCTTGCCATGTAAGATGCACCTGCTTCCCCTTCGCCTTCTGTCATGATTCTAAGTTTCCTGAGGCCTCCCCAACCATGCTTCCTGTACAGCCTGTGGAACCATGAGCCAATCAAACCTCTTTTCTTTATAAATTACCCAGTTTCAAGTATTTATTTATAGCAGTGGGAGAACGGACTAATACTCTGTATTTAGGTCCATGATTCTCGTTTTTATTTTGATATAATCTTGGTCTCTCATTGAATCTGAAGTAAATACAGATAGTTTATTTATGACTTTTTTCTTTTTTTTGAGATGGAGTCTCACTCTGTCACCCAGGCTGGAGTGCAGTGGTGCAATCTCGGCTCACTGCAACCTCCGTCTCCTGGGTTTAAGCAATTCTCTGCCTCAGCCTCCCGAGTAGCTGGGAATAAAGGTGCATGCCATCATGCCCAGCTAACTTTTGTATTTTTAGTAGAGATGGGATTTCACCATCTTGGCCAGGCTGGTCCTGAACCCCTGACCTCTTGATCCGCCTGCCTTGGCCTCCCAAAGTGCTGGGATTACAGGCATAAGCCGCCATGCCCGGCCTATTTATGACTTTTTTAAGGTATACTACATGCACATTTTGTAGAATCTTTTTCCACAGGGTTTCTATAAAGCAGATTTCTATTTGTGAAATTCCAAGTTCACATATGACCTTGCTAAAAATTTAAGATGTGCTCTTTTAGAAGAAAAAATAGAAATTTCTAATATGCTACCAAATTAAAATATTATTGCAAAGTACAGTGGTTATTTAATATTTGATATAGTAGCTTGTGGGAGTTGAAAGCTAAATAACAGCTAACTAAATAGATCTTGTCTTATGGAAAAATTTAGGTTCTATTAGTTTCCTTTTCCTTCTTGGACTTCCCTGAAAAATTCTAGCTTTGTGTTAGTGATGCATTTTTGCAAGTTGAATGGAAAGGAGCAGTAATGGAAAAAATAACTAAGGCAATCATTTAAATTATGAAAATTAATGACGTGTAAGGGGTAGCCTTGCAGTTGTCTGTCTCATATGCCTGTTTTCATTACCTAAAGCTCTGTAATAAGGGGCAGCTCTGCACCATTTTGCGCTTTCCATAAAGTACCTGCAGCCATGAGGGCAAGTGCAATTCCAGTAGGGTGGAGCAGAGGAGAAAGGAACCTGGGTGTCTGCAGAGTGGAGCGGTGCAGAAGCCCTGGGTTCCAGACACCTGTGCTCTTTCACAGGTGAAAGAGAAGCTAAAGTCTATCTAGCTTAATCAGCATTAGAGAATTTGGTACTAAGAAATGCACTGAACCTAAGAAGTAACAGTTTGCACAGAGGAGGAGGTACGGTTTTGTACTCATGATGCCATTAACTAAAAGCCAATAAAATGGAATCTCACCACATTTTCAGAAAAATCTACCACCATGTAAAACCAAAGTCTGGCTTTTAACAGCCTTGAAACCTGGAATCCTGGGATCTATACTCATAAGACATATCGCAATGCTCACAGCCCTTCTAAGGAGCAGAATCGGGGGGCATTAAGGGTGTGGCTGTGGTAGTTCCAGGAACAAGTGACTGCTGGGTGTCCCGTCCTCCCCTCTGAAAATGTGAGTTTCATCGCCCTCATCCTTATCCTTCTCCACCAATGTACATTGGATGTATTGGGGGTAAAGAATTTGTCTTTGGGGCTAGGCAGCTCAGAGCTGCATATGAGCTTAGCCTTCCACCAAGTGCTGTGTATGTTCAAACAATAATATTCCATAAAGTATAGCACGTCAGAAATGTCCTAACAGCTCCCCCGAGTTATCTTTCAGGAAATGAACAGTAAGGTGTATTTCACTTTTGAAGTGCAATATTTAAATACTGATTTGAAAATGTTGTAGCAGTAAATATCCTGGCACATTCCTGGGCATGTTATTTAAGAAACAGCATTAGCAGCAGCGATGGTAATGGCAATGAACCATGTGCTGTGAGAGCCAGCTGTGTACCTTGGACTCCATTAAGAACTGGATACCCTAAATGACATGACAGCCATTTTAGGGATGAGAGAACCGGGGCTCAGGAAAAGGTTGAATATCCTGTCCTAGCTACTACAGCTATTAAGTGACATACAAGAAATGCAGCCCCATCTCCTAGGCGCTGAAGATTCAGCACTATGCACGCAACAACAAAATTGTCAAGCTTTATAAATATAGCAACGGGAGAGACGTAAGTCTTAGGTTGATCTAAATGTGCTTTGAAATGTGAGGAACAGGAAAAAGTGTTACATTTTCCACAGCCTTAATGGCACAGAATTTTCACTGTATCTGTGAGGGGATTGATTCTGGCTGGATGGGATCATCCTGTTTTATCAGAGTACTCCCAATGTTAGACATTTTACAGAATACAGAGCTCACAAAGGCTGTGCATTTTTATGAGCTTATATTGTTTTGGAAATAACACAAACCTAGGTCATTAACTCCTAATGGCTATTTTAAAACACAGCTCTCCTAATTGTTCAGTAATAGGCAGTTGGTTAAATGAATTATATGTGTTTTGCAATGTGTGGCCATTAAAAAGTTCATTTCATGAGAATATTCTCTAACATTAAAAATCACTTATGATCAATTGTAAGATAAAACATTGAAGTCATTATATAACAGGCTTATTTTCCTCTTTTCACTTAAAAACATGAAAATAAATATGTAGATGGATAAAAAACAAAAAGGTTAATGGTGACTCAGGTTGGACGAATTTATATGATGTTTAATTTTTTTATTCAATTTGCTTCATTTTCTGGTATTTCTACTGAGAACATATATTTATAATGAGATTATTTATTTATTGAGAAATTGTTATTGGTTTTCAAAAATAATACATGATCTTTGAAAAGTATTAAAATCATAAGAAAAAGATAAAAAAAAGGGAAAAAATATCCCAAATTACATTACCTAGAAGAAAATATCTATACGCCAGGTGTGGTAGCTCACGCCTGTAATTCCAGCACTTTGGGAGGCTGAGGTGGGCAGATAACTTGAGTCCAGGAGTTCGAGACGAGCCTGGGCAACAGTGAGATGCTATCTTTACAAAAAATACAAGAAAAAAATTAACCAAGTGTGGTGGTGCGTGCCTGTCATCCCAGACACGTGGGAGGCTGAGGTGGGAGGATCGTTTGAGGCTGGGTGGTCAAGGCTGCAGTGAGCCGAGATCATGCCATTGTACTCCAGCCTGGGCAACAGAGTGAGACCCTGTCTCAAAAAATAATAATAATAAAAAATAAAATAAAAATAATCTTTTATGGAGATTTTTGATGACCAGGACTTGAGTTATCTCACTATGCATATTCCCACTAATCTTTTATAAATGGATTATATGGTGAATTATTTTCTATCACTCTGACTTTCCCTCTACATCAGACTTCAGGGCTCTGCCCTTGTCAATAAAATAATTATATCAACAATTTTATTAAACCCTAGTGTATATGAATGTGCTTTAATTTTCTCCCCTAATTACTTATTAATGAAAATTTCAGTTTCTTCCAATTCTTAATTATAAACCATGCTTATATATTTTGCTTATATACTGAAAACATTGCATAGCATGTTTTACTTTTAGAACTGTAAAACTGTATGAAAAAGGAGGACCCGTGGTATATTTTGATAGAAAGTGTATGAGCGTCCTCAGTTCCCCAGACTCTGGCCAGGACTTTATCATGATTTATCATTCTTTAAAAATACTGTTGTGCACTATTTTAATGTATTTTATCCTCTGTTTTATGTTCTAAAGCGGGATTACATATGTCCATATTTTTATCTATACTGATATCTGTAAAGTTTTTCCTTGCCCAGTTTTGATATAAAGGTTTGTTAGCATAATAAATGAGTTTAGGGTAGCTTTCTGTTCTTTTCTATATTCTGGAACAATTTATATAAATAAGAATCATCTAGTTTTTAAAAGTTTGCTATAACTGGCACATAAACCAATGTAATCTATTTTATTTTTGATGTGTTCATTGTGGTTGAATAGGAACACTATCATTTGTGGTGTACTAATGTTGTATCTGATTTTGTTATTCTTTTATCTTAAATATCAGTAGCTATCAATCATATATCAATTACCTATCATCTATTTTCTATCATCTGTCTTCTATCAATCATCTACCATGCATATATCATCTGTTTCTATCTACATATCCTCTATCATCTATCTATCTATCATCTATCTATCATCTCTCTCTCTCTCTCTATCATCTGTCTCTGTCTGTCTATATATTTACCTATTATCTATCATCTAGCTATCTTCATATATCAATCATCTATCATCCATATATCATCACTCTTCTATCAATCATCTATCTCTGTCATCTATCATCTATCTATCACTTATCTATCTGTCTGTCTTTTCAAATTTTTACTTGCCTTTAAGTCACTTGCTCACTACTTGGCTGAGGAAAACAGGGTTTTTTGATTGAAATTTGCCCTGAGAGCCACATAATAAGATGATAATGTCACAAAAGAGAAGCAAATATCATTATTAAAAGAAAAAGAAATATATTTTGAAAGAATCAAAATGCCCACATTTTCACTTAAGCTTTTGTCTCTGCTTCTCTAGTTCAAAGGATGAGCATGTGGTATGTTGTCCAAAAACAAATCTGCATTTTAACAAGGTCCCCAGGGGACTCCTGTGCAGACACTGGTGAGAGGTCTGCTCTGAGGACCCACGTGAGGCTGGTCTGACCCCAGCCAGGTAGCGCTGACATGTGGCTGCTCAGAGTGCAAGACAGAGACACCCCCATGGTCACCTGCTGCATGGGCAGGTGTCCCTCCTGGAATCTGTTGCCTTTATTCTGAGCTTTCATCACATTTTCTCCTGGCAAGGTCCTTCTGAACCACCTGCGACTGACAAACTAAACCCTCACCTCTCGGTCTGGTTGGTCTGGTGGAGTGCTGCTCTTTTCAGAGGCAGGGCTGCCCTTGAGGACTCACAACCCTCTCATTAGTGGGCTCAATGAGGAAAGTGATTTTCACCATCTCAAATTATGCTCGGGGCAAACTCCAATTCAACAATCATGTGATTAAAATTTGCCTGGCCTTGTGTTTAGGACACACTCTATCTCAGAACTGTATCAATTTTGGAACTGCTGCAATCCCTTGACCCAGGAAAATGTATCAGAGCCACAGGCATATGCAGGCCAGACATTTCCTCCATGGTCTCCATTACAATTTGGGAGAGGCTGGGGACGGAGGTAAGCTAGCCTGCTATCGGAGCGGAGGCGCCATCCTCATGTTGTTTTCTTACTCATGACCAGCTGGTAGCCTATAATTTGGTGCTCCCCTGGAGTGTTTTATTCAAACATATGTATAAGTTATAAAATGTAGATGTTTTCCCAAGTAAGCTGCAAGGAGGTACTTACATGCTCCTGGCTCTCCGGAACCTGAACCAGTCCTACCTCACACACACTTTAGTAAAACAGAAACTCCAGGCAGGAGAAGATTGAACTCTCCATTTTCCCTGCCTCGAGGGTCTTGTCTTGGGTCTAGGCTGCCATAGGAATGGAATGGAATTCTAATTGAGTATCTGTTTCCACCTCACTTGTTTCTTGGATAACTGTGACAGACTTACAAAGTGTGTGTTCCTCCTTGGTGTCCCCAGTTTTTTCTTTAAAATGCTTTATTATTTAGAGCAGTTTTAGTCTAATAGCAAAATTGAGCAGAAGGTACAGAGATTTCCCATACCACAGCCTTCTCCATTATCAACATCCCAGCAGAGCGGTATATTTGTTACAACTGATGAGCCTGCATTGACACATTCTCATCACTGACGTCCATATTTTGCATCTGGGTTCACTGAGTGTTGCACATTCTACAGGTTTGGACAAATGTGTAATGACATGTATCCACTGATAATTCATTCTTTTATATCTCTTTTTATATCTTTTGCACTTCTGGAAATTAGCATTCTTATAGCTTTTCCTATTCACCATATTAAAAGTCACCCTCAAAAAGTAGAGATGGGTGGATGCTTTTCCACGGTAATGTTCTGCATTTTGTCATCCACGCACTTGTCCACATGCTTGGAGGGGCTGGAGCTGGGATGGTGTGAAGACGCCACTCAGGCTTCCTCTTCATCACTTCTCTCACCACCTCCCACCGAGCTCGGTGTGTCCTCAGGACCTAGCACTGCAGAGCTACCTGGGCAGAGCACTGCAGGTAGCTGCTTAACACCAGCCAGCGTTGCCATGTGAGAGTGGGTGCGCTGTTCCAATCGTGGGGGAAGCCCCTCTTGTCTACAATTCACATACATCATGCACTCCTCTGTCTCACTTTGGGAATGGTGTTCCGCTTCTGCCTGGAGAGTTCCAGTTTTTGTGGAAGTTGACATCACCTACCCAGACCTATGAAAGGGGGTGACAGAAGTGAGAGTAAACTGTGAGTGTCATGAATGAGGAACATAATTTCACTTTTAAAATTTACTCTGTATTTTGATGATTCCGACCCGCAATTCAAGAGTTCTGGGGTACACATTGTTGATGCCATGGGAGGAATCTGGAGGACAGATGAGGAGACCAATTCTCACCCCTCATCTCTGCTTACACAGTTTAAACAGAGATAAAATGGAAAGGGTGCCTTATCTGATGCCAAATTAAGATGCCAAAATTTGCATAGAAAAGATTCACTCTATTTTGTAAAGTAAGAGCTGTATCTGTATTATCTGTTAGAGATAACAAACTTTTTCAGTTCAAGCATCCCTGAATATCTCAGTAATTTTTCCCATGACATACCCCAAGCCAAAAGAAATGCCGGTTTCATGTATCAAATTGTCAGGCCCAAATTACCTAATATATATGTGTGTCCTAACAACTGGAAATAGTTCACATACGTTGAAAATAGTTCACATACATTGAAAGAAAGTTATTTTTTAGTTTTATTCACACATGACCTCCCTTACTTACGCATGGGTCTTGGGCCACCTGGGCAGATAGAACTCCATAAACCTTAACGTCACATGAGATCCTGCACCTAGCTGGCTTTCCATGTCGATGTCCTGCCAGTGTTTGCTTTTTCTTTTTTTTTTTTTTAAATCATGGCAACTGTGAAAACCCCAGCTTTACAAAGAAATGATGCTGTCAAAAGGAAGTTAATAAAATCGATGCTGAACTCTGAACTGCTTTGAACAAGTCATTCACCTGCTATCTGACAGTTGTCAACTGTCTCTGAGAGTCCCTTGAAAATGTAAAACACCTTTAGTGCCCCTATAAACGAATTTATAGGTAAACCCCTATAAATTTTTAAATTTATTTAAAATTGTTTATAGGTAAATCCCTATAAGTTTACCCTATAAACTTAACCATAGTCATAGTTAATAAAAGTACAATGATATACACCATGTGCCGTGCTGTTGGTAATGCTATTTTTTGTTGTTCTGAGGTTAAGTGTGGGGTCTTCCGTTACTGTGAGTGACAGGGTGGTTTCTCATCTGATCTGGTCCTGTAGTTTCTAGAGCTTTTATATTTCCTGTTTGTTTGATGAATTTTTGAGAGTCTCACAACATTTTTTTGCCTCATAGCATTCTGCTCTGTGATGTCACTTCATTCAATAAAATTATTTTTCTCATCTTCTACTTATAAATGTTCTCAATATTTACTTCATCTCCATCATTGTTATTTTTAAGAAGGAGTATCTTTTTTCTTAGAAATCTTTCTTCAGAAGTCATTGGTTGACTCAATACTACCATTTAATTTACTAATTACATGAAGATTACTCTTTCTTTTAGGACCCTAGTGCTCTATCTATTATAGATAAGAAGATTTTTTAATGCTAAATCTTGATAGAGGAAAAGAAAGTTGATTTTTGAGGATAGCACTAAAAACTGCTCCTCCATTGGGTAGAACAACAGGCATTTCCTACGTGGCTCTGTTAACTTATGTCCCCTTCTCTCTGCCCAGCTGCAGAAGCATGTGAGTGTTACTCTTCATTTCTTTCATGCCTCGTGTCCTGTGGGTTAGTCGATGTTTTCCCCTTGCATAATCAAAGCTTGTACACTACTCATAATAGAATTCTCTGCTATGTTAATATGGCAGTATTATTCACTTGGTAAAACTATCATAGTTAAATTTTAATGAGCACTATTCCTTGAAGGGCTTATGTGCACTGTTAGTTCTTGCTTCTCATCAAAGCAAGCTCTGAAATATGCCCGTGCAGTTGAACCACAGGCCAGGGATAGCAGATCTACGCACAAAGTGCTCTACACCACAAGTCCCTCATTTTTTTAAAGAGAAATGAAGACATGCTTCTATCAAACTCTAGCGATGGCACTTAAATAGATGAAAGAATACACGTGACATAGTTTTGGAAAGGGCGTATGTAAATAAAGTAGAAGTAAAACATATTTCTAGCAACCTTAATTCTAAAGGCTACTCTATTTGTCATTTTCTGACAATGGCTCACTGAGAAGGAACCTTTCTGTTGGGGTGAAAATGGTCCAGTGGAATTCACTTTCCGGAGTGTCTACCACTGGCTAGAAGCAGCCCGGAGCCTTCGGCCCACCTATGCTCTTCATCTGGAGGGCAGAAGGTGGGTACTGTAGCATCTGTCTCTAAGCCCCAAACAGACTCCCTTACTTCCCCAGTTTAGTCAAGTAATCCATTAGCTTGAATATCAAACATTTCATTAAATATTTCAGTGCTCTTCTAAACTATATAAAAGGTTTGGATGAACTAGGTTTGAAAAATCATAATGGCGTACCCACTCACCAACACCACTTAAAAGCATCTGCTTATCCATCTTGTCCTCCTAATGCTATCACAACCTTCCTCATTGAGCAAGAAGCCATTTCTGAGCTGCAAATACCTTTCAGTTTGTTTCTGGGGCTTCTGCATTATCTATCTAACTGAGATAACATTTAGTATGTATAACTTATACACTATTTAAATACTTATTTATTGCTTTATCAGTGTTTTGATTTGTTATTCTATGGTAAACAAATGAGGCATAGATATCACAAAGGTTTCATGTTATTGATCCCCTGACCTGAATTTTTGCATCTGTGTGTTTGTTCTTCTCACAAGAACATAGCTCTTACTCCTTAGAGCAGCAAGCAGAGAAGATTAGGGTGACTTGCGCTGACTTCATGTGAAGCCTGGAGGAATCAATGACACAAAGGAAAGTGAGTGTGAGCATGACGTCAAGTCAGACCATCATTCCTGCATTTTTGCTGGAAACAGCTGTGTCCGGGTGGCCAAGGAACACCAGAGTGGGTTGGCCATTAGTCTCTTTGGTAGTTTGCCAAATCATACACTCCAGAATTAAGTGACTTCAATGCTGATACTCTGAAAGGCCTTGGAGTCATATTTTTATGGAATAGCATTACTATATTTTAAGCATTCTCTACTTCCATAGCAATGCTTCTGCAGATGCTATATGAGAACAGGTGTACACACATCAGAACATTTTCTCCCAAACCATGCTATTGCTTAGAGATAGTCTCATGTTAAGATACCAAGGCCCAAATTATGGTGCTGGTTCCTTCAAAGAACAGAGTAACAACCATATATATAGCACATTCTATAGCATTTTAGGTTCACCTCTGAAACAAATTCACATACAAAAATAAACAAGTAGCTTTGCCAGGAAAGAAAGGTCTTTCCTGTTTTGAAAAACAAGTGATGAATCTGTACTCGCTATAGACTAAATGTGTCCCCCAAATTTATATGTTGAAATCCTAACTCCCATTGGGATGGTGTTAGGAGGTGGGACCTTTGAGGAGTGATGAGGGTGGAGCCCCCACGACAGGATTAGTGACCTTAAAAATAGGCCCCAGAGAACTTCCTTGTCCCTTCCACCATGTGAGGACACAGAGAATGCATGCTGTCTGTGAACCAGGAAGCAGCCCTTGTCAGACATTCAATCTCCCAGCACCTTGATCTTGGACCTCCAGCCTCCAGATGTGTGAGAACTAAGTGTTTGCTGTTTAAGACAAGTTGATGATATTTTTGTTATAGCAGCCCAAACTAACTAAGATAGTGCCTTGTAAGATACAGAATTGGTATTAAAAATTAAAACTGGGTCCCAAATTATATGAACAAAAAAAAAGTTACAAAAGAATCTATTCAGTAAAATTCTGTTTTTAATTATGAAATGCATATTTGTAGGTATATGTGTGTGGGTATAAAAAATCATTATCTCTAGATGGATACGGTTATAGCTTTTTATGTTAGCTATTATTTTTCATTTTTGTAAAATGAAGATATGCAACATTTGCAATAGGAGAAAAAAGTCAGTAACTAGCTACGTAGGTATAATTGGTCATACTGATTCTGGCTTTGTGAAACACTTCCGTGATAGAAAGTGGCACTGACTTTTTTAAGAAGGATTTTCTGAAGTTTATACAAGGTTGATGTTTAATTGGGATGTGGTTAAATGAAGAGTTTATTAGGCAAATAGGCAAGGGGCTTAAAATAATCTAACTGTGTCCTATAGCTGTATGACGTTGGGAAAAGCATTTATCCTAGGGAGAAATGACACCTTGTCTCAATATTTTGCGTGTCTTAATCCATACATCCTAATTCTAACATCACACATCCATTCAGGACAGTACTCAAATTTGGTCTGTACAGGTGTCTTGTGTTTATAAATAAGCAGAGTTTCTCAAGTTATAAATGGGCACACCTTTAGACTGTGCATACTATGTAGGGTTGGAAAAGCTACCAGATGGCTTCATTCTAATGGGGGCTTGGCTTATGCACCAATGGATACTTAATGTGTTAATGAGAGGGGCACCAGCTCTCCTTTTTAAGACTGGGTTGATGGTTGGTCATAGAACTGGGCTCCATCATAGCAAAGAGGATGGCAGGACTTCAGAACATTAATGGTCAGTTGGCAACACTTAATAATTACAGGCCTTGCATGTACTTTTATAATAAGTAGCAAGGTCAGAATGACAGCATGGAAGTCCTGAGGGGCACAGAGTTATGAAGATGGTTAATAGAACATGGCATTGTTGGAGACAAAATAGTGGGTCAGTGAAGAAGAACTCCACCGAAGTTCTTTAATGAAGTGAGATCAAGGGTGGATGACTAGGAAGATAAAGGCATTCTTCTAAAACAAACTCATAATCCTGTGTCCAGCTTCTGGACCTCAGTGGAATTTCAGGCCCAACCTCTTTCATCTGAGGGAGAGACCTGATCCCCAGGAGAGAGGACCCTGTAAGACTAAATGCTAACAACAAGTATACATGGCAGTTCTTCCCCAGAGCCTCCCCAGAGAAATCTGTAGCCATGCCCTGGGGCAGCCATACATTGTGGAGCGGGAGCTACCCAGCATTTGGATGACTGTTGTGCACAGAATGGAATTTAACTTTGACACTCTGACCTGAAGTGTCATCACGGGTCACCTTTACAATGGGTGCCTAAGGACCTGGGTAATGAGTGGAGTCCTGTCCAGTTACAGCTCGCGGTGTAACTTGTCCTTGTCCCTGAATGTATAATAGCAATGGGAATATTGATGGTTGACACATGTGCCACAGGTCTTTGGCTTCTGGAGTAAGTTATCAGAGTGAGGTCAGTAAAGTTGTAGATACTAAAGCTGTGCCCACTGCCTGCTCCCACACCAGTCACACAGTAAATTAAAACTCACATTCCATTCTGGGGAAAATGGCAGGAAAGAATCCCTTGCTTAAAGACCAACATGATGCTGATGGTGAACTTCATGTCTGCATTTAATTTTCTAGTGTAGCTCCTCAAAAATCTGGGCAGAACTTAGAAGATACCAGAAGACTATGGCAAGCTCAACCAAGTAAGCCCAACTTCAACTGCTGTGCTGGATATGGTGTCCTGATTGGAGCAGATGAGCACAGCCTCAGATACGTGATAAGCAGCCATCAATGATCTAGTGGTGCTCTTTCCCATCCTTATCCAAAGGGAAGATCAGAAATATTCATAGTTGTTTGGAGCAGAAAACTGTGTATATTTAATGGTTTTTCCCTAAGGCAAGCTAACTCTTCAATTCTCATATAAAAATATCTGCTTTGTTCTTTATGATTCATTACAATAATTTCATTTTTTACCTAAAATTTTACTACAACCATTAGCCAAAAACACTAGTCTGAGCCATCTGTAATACCATGGACTTTTGAAAGAACATGGTGTGTCCTACATGGTCCTTGGAGGGAATGTTGGCATTGCAGTACACTTCTTGAAAGGATTCCTTTCTTTTGGCATAAAAGATTCTAAGCACCTTTCCTGGCTACCTACAGCTTCTGCCACCACCATAAGCGACAATATTCTCTTGTAAGTTCTCTGACCCCTGTGGGTAAATGACCACTATAGGCACAGACCAAGGAGAGCTTCCAATGATGTCACAGTTTGGATTCCACAGGAAGTAAATTCTAAGGAGCAGGGTTGGGCAGAGAAGCTGAGGTGCAACACAGGCTCTGCAAAGACTGAGATGACCAAGCTTAGAAGCTGGAGGACCCTTCAGAGACTCCTCAGGTTGGGGTGAGTGGGTCAAGAATTTAGATCTCCAAATAGATCAGGAATTGTCAGCAAGTGGCCCCAGAAAGTCGAGAGTAAAACATTGCTCTTCAGGGAGGCATTCCTAGAGAGGATCACTTTGGGAAGGGTATCTGACAGCAACACTCCCAGGGCAGGGGACACATTTCCGAAGGCGGACCTGGACAGTGTCCACCATTGCTTAGATCTGCTTTTACAGAAACATTCTGGGAGCAGTGCCTCTAGGGCCTCAAGGGGGACTCCTTTCCTGGAGGAGCTTAGAAGAGGAAGATTAGATGAGTTATAGCTCTTGCAACTGCAGCTGACCTAGAAGTCACACATGACGCTTAGCATCTCTGGCTTCCACTCTTCATCCTGGATTCCCATCACCCTCATAGCACCTTTGCTAGTCTAGATGTCTTTCGTGGTGAAAAGAAATATACCCAGTTGCCTTGTCCTCCTCAACAAGGTGTCTGTGCTAGTCCATTGGCTGTCAAAATTGGGCAAGAGAGTAGGAAGATGTATTCAAGCAGGTGAAATGGATGCCCAAAACATTCTTCTCTACTCCCATTGCTCAGCAGCAGGCTGTCTTCCTGATGACCAAGGTCTAGATGCCTGCTAGGATGGTGGCTTCTCTTCATAACCTCTTGTCCCTTGGCATCAGAAACCTACAATGCCCAGGTAGCAGTAGTGGCTTATAGTTCAATGTGACCCTTGGGGTATTCCTGGTGGAAGCAGAATATCAAAACCTATAGAACCTAGAGTTGCAAGGATGAGAAACACAAATGACCCAAGCAGGTCATAGGAAGTCTTGGAAAGTGGGGCCACTCTTCTTTTTAGTTTGTTTCCTGGACACGTTGATTGTGACCATTGAGACCCAAATGCCATATAAAGTTGGTTGATTTAGTGGATACCCTGCAGGCCGGTTTCAGGGTTTGAGACCTGAGCTGACCTAAGGTTCCGTGCTTAGAAAAGCCTATACTTGCTTTAGTGCTCTGGTGTCATCCTCTTGGAATTCTTAATAATTTTGAACAAAGGATCCCATATTTTTATTTTGCACTGGGCTCCACAAATTAAGTATGAAATCCTGAGAGCATTGATTCCTGGAGCCTGGAACTCCATCTCTATAATGCCACCTTTGAACTGATACTTCAGCTGTGCTTTCAATAAGCTGTTCTGTCACACTCTCAAAACAATGGCAATGGGGCTGTGGCACAAAATGGAGCCAGTAGATCACATGCTGGTACCCATTTTCACACTTCTTTCACTATAAACATGGATCCTTTGGTCTGGATATTTTTATATGTAATCCTAAGCCAGTTAATCAAATGTTCAATTAGCCTTCAGATCATAGTCACAACTACAGCCATAGAGGGCAGGGAAACAAACCAAGAGAACATTTGTCTACTTCAAGTAAAATTATTGATGGCTCTTTCAGGGTAGAAGGCATTCATTATAGTCCAAAAAGTGATTGGTTGATCCTCTCAAGTCATGGCATTCTATTGGATGCTGAATGCTAGTCTTGGTGGTTGACATGCTGGACAGTTCTAACTAGAGCAGTCCTGGTAAGGGAGAGCCCATTCTTTCAGGCTTATGCATAGCCTTCATTGCTGCTACCATGATTTCTCCACTCATAAATATAATATTCAACACTAGTGTAGCTGATGATAAAGGCTGGCTGATGTCACCTGGCCAGGTCATATTGTGGTATATATATGCCATGGAATACTACTCAGCCATAGAAAGGAATGAAATAATGGCATTGATAGCACCTGGATGGAATAGGAGACCATTATTGTAAGTGAAGTAACTCAGGAATGGAAAACCAAACAGTGGATATTCTCACTCATAAGTGGGAGCTAAGATATGAGGATGCAAAGGCATAAGAATGATACAATGAATTTTGGGGACTCAGGGGAAAGGGTGGGAGGGGTATGAGGGATAAAAGACTACATATTGGGTACAGTGTACACTGCTCAGGTGATGGGTGCACCAAAATCTCAGAAATCACCACTAGATAATTTATGTAGTCAAACACAACCTGTTCCCCCCAAAAACCTATTGAAATTTTTAAAAGTTTATGAAAACTGAGGCACCATGTTGTACTTTGCTGATAGTGCACAGCTATCAAGGTACACATCAAATTTTCTGATTTTGGATTGAGTGTTTCTCACTACAGTATTCCTTATGTCTCCTGGTAGTATTGATTTTAGGATGCTTGGTGGCATAAATAATATTTTTGTTTTTTAAATTTTAATTTAAAATTAAAATTAAAAAATCATATGTATATATGATTTCTTTTTTTCAGATTGCTTGCTGTTGACATATAGAAATGCTACTGATTTTCATATATTGATTTTGTATCCTGCATCTTTACTGAATTTGTTTATCAGTTCTAATAGTTTTTTGGTGTACTCTTCAGGTTTTTCCAAATATTAAATGATATTATTTGCTAACAAGGATAATTTGACTTCTTTCTTTCCAATTTGGATTTCTTTTATTTCTTTTCCTTGTCTGATTGCTCTAATTAGGGCTTGCAGTACTATGTTGAATAGCAGTGTCACAAGTAGATACCCCTGTCTTGCTCCAGATGTAAGAGGAAAGGCTTTCAGGTTTTCCCTATTCAGTATGATACCAACTGTGCGTCTGTCATATATGGCTTTTATTGTGTTGAGGTATGTTCCTTCTATACCCAGTTTTTTAGGGGTTTTATCATGAAAGGATGTTTAATTTTATCAAATGCCTTTTCACCATCAAATGAAATGATCATATGCTTTTTGTCCTTCATTCTGTTGATATAATGTATTGCAATTATTTATTTCCATATATTGGGCCATCCTTGCATTCCTGGGATGAATCCCAATTGGTCATAACAAATGATTTTTTAAGGTATTGTTGAATTTAATTTGCTAAGATTCCATTGAAGATTTTTGCATCAATAGTCATTGGAGATATTGGCCTGTAATTTTCTTTTTTTTTTTGATGTGCCTTTGTCTGGCTTTGGCATCAGGGTAATACTGGCCTTGTAGAATGAGTTTGGAAGTATTCCCTCCACTTTGACCTTTTGCAATGGTTTCAGTAGAATTGGTATGAGTTGTTCTTTAAAAGTTTGGTAGCTTACAGCAGTAAAGCCATTGGGTCCCAGACTTGTCTTTGCTGGGTGACTTTTTATTATGGCTTCAATCTCATTACTTGTTATTGGCCTATTCAAGTTTTGAATTTCTTCATGGCTAAATCTTGGTAGGTTTTATGTGTCTAAGAATTTATTCATTTCTTCTTGGTTTTTCAATTTAGTGGCACATAGTTGCTCATAGTAGTCTCTAGTGATCCTTTGAATTTTGTGGTATCAGTTATAATATCTCCTTTTTCATCTCTGGTTTTATTAGTTTGGATCTTTTTTTCTTGGTCTGGCTAAAGGTTTGTCAATTTTGTTCATCTTTTCAAAAAACCAACTTTTTATTTTATTGATAATTTGTATTTTTTCATTTTAATTTTACTCATTTCTGCTCTGATCTTTATCATTACTTTTAATCTACAAATTTTGAGTTTAATTTGCTCTTGCTCTTCTATTTCTTTGAGATGCATCATTAAGCTGTTTATTTGAAGTTTCTCTACATTTTTCAATGTAGGTACTTATTGCTATAAACTTTCCACTTAGTACTGCTTTTGTTGTATTTCGTAGGTTTTGGTGGGTTTTATTTCTATTTTCCTTTGTTTCAAGGAACTTTAAAATTTTCTTCTTAATTTCTTCATTCATCCACTGGTCATTCAGGAGCATATTGTTTAATTTCCATGTGTTTTTATTGTTTCCAAAATTCCTGTTGTTGTGGATATCTAGGGTTTTATTCCATTGTGGTCAGAGAAGATATTTAATATGATTTCAGTATTTTGAATGTTTTGAGACTTGTTTTGTGGTCTAACATATGGTCTCTCTTTGAGAACTGTCCATGTGTTGAGGTGAAGAATGTATTTTGCAGCTGTTTGATAAAATGTTCTCTGTATATCTATTAGGTCCACTTGGTCTGTAGTGCAGATTAGGCCTGTTGTTTCTTTGTCGATTTTCTGTCTGGGTTATCTGTCCAATGCTGAAAGTGGATGTTGAAGTCCCCAACCTTTATTTTATTGGGGTCTATCTTTCCCTTTGGCTCTAATAATATTTGCTTTATATGTCTGGGTGCTCCAGTGTTGGGTGCTTATATATTTACAATTGTTATATTCCTTTGCTGAATTGACTCCTTTATCATTACACAGTAACCTTTGTCTCTTTTTATGCTTTTTGTCTTGAAATCCATTTTATCTGATATAAGTGTAGCTACCTTTGTTCTTTTTTGGTTTCTATTTGCATGAAATATCTTTTCTCACCCCTTCATTTTCTGTCTGTGTGTGTCCTTACAGGTGAACTGTGTTTCTTATGGGCAATAGATTTTTTTTTATTATTATACTTTAAGTTCTGGGATACATGTGCAGAATATGCAGGTTTGTTACATAGGTATACATGTGCCTGGTGGTTTGCTGCACCCAACAACCTGTCATCTACATTAGGTATTTCTCCTAATGCTATGGCTTCCCTAGCCCCCAATCCCCCAACAGGTCCTGATTTGTGATATTACCCTCCCTGTGTCCATGTGTTCTCATTGTTCAACTCCCATTTATGAATGAGAACATGAGGTGTTTTGTTTTCTGTTCTTGTGTTATTTTGCTGAGAATGATGGTTTCCAACCTCATCCATGTCCCTGCAAAAGACATGAACTCATCCTTTTTTATGGCTGCATAGTATATTTGCCACATTTTCTTTATCCAGTCTATTATTGATGGGCATTTGGGCTGGTTCCAAGTCTTTGCTATTGTGAATAGTGCTGCAATAAACACACATGTGCATGTGTCTTTATAGTAGCATGATTTATAATCCTTTGGGTATATACCAGTAATGGGATTGTTGGGTCAAATGGTATTTTTGGTTCCAGATCCTTGAGGAATCAGCATGCTGTCTTCCACAATGGTTGAACTAATTTATACTCCCTCCAACAGTGTAAAAGTGTTCCTATTTCTCCACATCCTCTCCAGCATCTGTTGTTTCCTGACTTTTAATGATCACCATTCTAACTGCTGTGAGGTGGTATCTCACTGTGGTTTAGATTTGCATTTCTCTAATGACCAGTGATGATGAGCTTTTCTTCATATGTTTGTTGGCTGAGAGGATGGAGTTTTCTAAATGTAAATATAAAATTATGTCATCAGCAAACAGAGACAATTTGACTTCCTATCTTCCTATTTGAATATCTTTATTTCTTTCCCTTGTTTGATTGCCCTGGCCAGAACTTCCAATACTGTGTTAAATAGGAATGATGAGAGAAGGCATCCTTGTCTTGTGCCGGTTTTCAAAAGGAATGCTTCCAGGTTTTGCCCTTTCAGTATGATATTGGCTGTGGGTTTGTCATAAATAGCTCTTATTATTTTAAGATATGTTTCATCAATATCTAGTTTATTGAGAATTTTTAGCATGAAACGGAGTTGAATTTTATCGAAGGCCTTTTCTGCATCTTTTGAGATAATTATGTGGTTTTTGTCATTGGTTCTGTTTATGTGATGGATTTTGTTTATTGATTTGCATATGTTGAACCAGCCTTGCATCCCAGGGATGAAGCCAACTTGATGGTGGTGGATAAGCTTTTTGATGTGCTGCTAGATTTGGTTTGCCAGTGTTTTATTGATTTTTATATCGATGTTCATCAGGGATATTGGCCTAAAATTTTCTTTTTTGTTGTGTCTCTGCCAGGTTTTGGTATCAGGATGATGCTAGCCTCATAAAATAAGTTAGGAAGGCGTCCCTCTTTCTTTATTGTTTGGAGTAGTTTCAGGAGGAAGGAATGGTACCAGCTCCTTTTTGTATCTCTCATAGAATTTGGCTAAGAATCCATCTGGTCCTGGGCTTTTTTTGGTTGGTAGGCTGTTCATTACTGCCCCAATTTCAGAACTTGTTATTGGTCTATTCAGGGATTCAACTTCTTCCTGGTTTAATCTTGGGAGGGTATATGTGTCTAGAAATTTATCCATTTCATCTAGATTTTCTAATTTATTTGCATAGAGGTGTTTATAGTATTCTCTGATGGCAGTTTGTATTTCTGTGGGGTCAGTAGTAATATCTCCTTTACCATTTTTTGTTGTGTCTATTTGATTCTTCTCCCTTTTCTTCTTTATTAGTCTGGCTAGCAGTCTATCTATTTTATTAATCTTTTCAAAAATACAGCTCCTGGATTCATTGATTTTTTGAAGGGTTTTTCATGTCTCTATCTCCTTCAGTTCTGCTCTGATCTTACTTATTTCTTGTCTTCTGCTAGCTTTTGAATTTGTTTGCTGTTGCTTCTCTAGTTCTTTTAATTGTAACATTAGGGTGTTAATTTTAGATCTTTCCTGCTTTCTCCTGTGGGCATTTAGTGCTATAAATTTTCTCTAAACACTGCTTTAGCTGTGTCCCAGAGATTCTGGTATGTTGTTTCTCGGTTTTCATTTGTTTCAGAAAACTTATTTATTTCTGTCTTAATTTCGTTATTTACCCAGTAGTCATTCAGGGGCAGGTTGTTCAGTTTCCATGTAGTTGTGTGGTTTTGAGAGAGTTTCTTAATCCTGAGTTGTAATTTGATTGGACTGTGGTCTGAGAAACTGTTTGTTATGGTTTCTGTTCTTTTGCATTTGTTGAGGAGTGTTTTACTTCCAATTATGTGGTCAATTTTAGAATAAATGTGATGTGCTGCTGAGAAGAATGTATATTCTGTTGATTTGGGGTTGAGAGTTCTGTAGATGTGTATTAGGTCCCTTGATCCAGAGCTGAGTTCAAGTCCTGAATATCCTTGTTAATCTTCTGTTTTGTTGATCTGTCTAATATTGACTGTGGGGTTTTAAAACCTCCCACTATTATTGTTAGGAGTCTAAGTCTCTGTGTAGGTCTCGAAGAACTTGCTTTATGAATCTGAATGCTCCTGTATTAGGTGCATATATATTTAGGATAGTTAGCTCTTCTTGTTGCACTGATCCCTTTACCATTATGTAATGGCTTTGTCTTTTTTGATCTTTGTTGCTTTAAGGTCTTTTTTATCAGAGGCTAGGATTGCAAACCCTGCTTTTTTTTTTTTTTTCTTTCCATTTCCTTGGTAAATATTGCTCCATCCCTTTATTTTGAGCCTATGTGTGTCTTTGCACATGAGATGGGTCTCCTGAATACAGCACACTGATGGGTCTTGACTCTCTACCCAATTTTCCAGTCTGTGTCTTTTAATTGTGGCATTTAGCCCATTTACATTTAAGGTTAATATTGTTATGTGTGAATTTGATCTTGTCATTATGATGCTAGCTGGTTATTTTGCCCATTAGTTGATGCAATTTCTTCACAGTGTCAATGGTCTTTACATTTTGATATGTTTTTGCAGTGGCTGGTACTGGTTTTTCCTTTCTATGTTTAGTGCTTCCTTCAGGAGCTCTTGTAAGGCAAGTCTGCTGGTGACAAAATCTCTCACCATTTTCTTGTCTGTAAAGGATTTTATTTCTTCTTTGCTTGTGAAGCTTAGTTTGGCTGGATATGAAATTCTGGGTTGAAAATTCTTTTCTTTAAGAATGTTGAATATTGACCCCTACTCTCTTCTGGCTTGTAGGGTTTCTGCAGAGAGATCTGCTGTTATTCTGCTGGGCTTCCCTTTGTGGGTAACCCAACCTTTCTCTCTGGCTACCCTTAACATTTTTTCCATCACTTCAAACTTGGTGAATCTGCTGGTTTTGTGTCTTGGGGTTACTCTTCTCGAGGAGTATCTTTGTGGTGTGCTGTGTATTTCCTGAATTTGAATGTTGGCCTTTCTTGCTAGGTTGGGGAAGTTCTCCTGGATAATATCCTGAAGAGTGTTTTCCAATTTGGTTCCATTCTCCCTGTCACTTTCAGGTACACCAATGACACGTAGGTTTGGTCTTTTCACATAGTCCCATATTTCTTGAAGGCTTTGTTCATTCCTTTTCATTATTTTTTTCTTTAATCCTGTTTTCACACTTTATTAAGTTGATCTTCAGTCTCTGATATCCTTTCTTCCGCTTCATAGATTTGGCTATTGATACTTGCATATGCTTCATGAAGTTCTCGTGCTATGTTTTGCAGCTCCATCAGGTCATTTATGTTCTCCTCTAAACTGGTTATTCTAGTTAGTAATTCCTGTAACCTTTTTTCAAGGTTCTTAGCTTCCTTGCAATGGGTTAGAACATGCTCCTTTAGCTTGGAGGAGTTTGTTATTACCCACCTTCTGAAGCCTACTTCTGTCAATTTGTCCAACTCATTCTCCATCCAGTTTTGTTCCCTTACTGGTGATCCTTTGTAGGAGAAGAGGCATTCTGGTTTTTGGAATTTTCAGCCTTTTTGCACTGGTTTTTCCTCATTTTCGTGGATTTATATACCATTGGTCTTTCATGTCGATGACCTTCGGATGGGATTTCTGTGTGGAAGTCCTTTTTGTTGATGTTGATGGTATTCCTTTCTATTTGTTAGTTTTCTTTCTAACAGTCAGGTCCCTCTGCTGCAGGTCTGCTGGAGTTTCCTGGAGGTCCACTCCAGACCCTGTTTGCCTGGGTATCACCAGCAGAGGCTGCAGAACAGCAAAGATTGCTGCCTTTTCCTTCCTCTGGAAGCTTCGTCCCAGAGGGGCACCCACAAGATGTCAGCCAAAAGTCTCCTGTATGAGGTGTCTGTCAACCCCTGCTGGGAGGTGTCTCCCAGTCAGGAGGCACGGGGGTCAGGGACCCACTTGTGGAGGCAGTCTGTCCCTTAGCAGAGTTCGAGCGCTGTGCTGGGAGGTCTGCTGCTCTCTTTAGAGCTGGCAGGCAGGAAGGTTTAAGTCTGCTGAAACTGGCCTACAGCCTCCCCTTCACCCAGGTTCTCTGTCCCAGGGAGATGGGAGTTTTATTTATAAGCCCCTTCCTTTCTTTCAGAGATGCCATGCCCAGAGAGGAGGAACCTAGAGAGGCAGTCTGGCTACAGTGGCTTTGCAGAGCTGTGGTGGCTCCGCCCAGTTCAAACTTCCAGGTGGCTTTGTTAATGCTGTGAGGGGAAAATGGGCTACTCAAGCCTCAGTAATGGCAGACGACCTTCCCCCCACCAAGCTGGAGCATCTTAGGTCGACTTTAGACTGCTGTGCTGGCAGTGAGAATTGCAAGCCTGTGGACCTTAGCTTGCTGGGCTCCGTGGCATTGAGATCTGCTGAGCTAGACCACACGGCTCCCTGGCTTCAGTCTCTTTTCCAGGGGAGTGAACAGTTCTGTCTCGCTGACATTCCAAGCACCACTGAGGTATGGAAAACAACAACAACAACATCAACAACAAAAACTGCAGCTAGCTCGGTGTCTGCCCAGTTTTGTGCTTGATACCCAGGACCCAGGTGGCATAGGCATCAGAGGAAATCTCCTGATCTGCGGGTTGCGAAGAATGTGGGAAAAGTGTAGTATCTGGGCTGGAGTTCCAGGACACAGTCCTCAAGGCACAGTCCCTCACAGATTCCCTTGGCTGCGGGAGGGAGTTCCCCGACCCCTTGTACTTCCCAGGTGAGGCAACACCCCACCCTGCTTCTGCTCCCCCTATGGGCTGCACCCACTGTTTAACCAGTCTTAGTGAGATGAGCTGGGTACTTCAGTTGGAAATGCAGAAATCATCCGTCTTCTGCGTTGATCTCGCTGGGAGCTGCAGACAGGAGCTGTTCCTATTCTGCCATCTTGCCAGCCACCCCCTGTTTTCTCTTTTCTTAAATTCATTCAGCCACTCTATGTCTTTTGATTGGAGAGTTGAGTTTATTTACATTCGATATTGATATTGGTAAGGACTTACTACTATAATTTTGTTATTTATTTTCTGGTTGTTTCATGATCTCCTTATTCCTCTCTTTTTTTTCTATCTTCCTCTTTATGAAAATGATTTTCTGTAGCAGTATGTCTTAATTTCTTGCTTTATATTTTTGCGTATCTGTTGTAGGTTTTTTGATTTGAGGTTACCATGAAGCTTGCAAATAATATCTTATAACCCACTATTTTAAACTGGCGACAACTTAACTTCAATTACAGGAAGAAACAAATGAAATAAAAAACAACAAAGAGAAAATTAATAAAATTTTCTTTATTTCACTCCCTCACAATTTTAAACTTTTTTTCGATTTATATCTTATTATACTGTTTATATGTTTTGTTTTTTCTATTTATATGTTATTATGCTAATTATATGTCTTAAAAAGTTGTTGCAGTTATTGTTTTTGATAGCTTTGTCTTGTAGTCTTCCTATTGAAGATATGAGTAGTTTACATATCACAATTACAGTTTTATAATATTCTGTATTTGTCTGTATCCTTACTGTTGCCTGTGAATTTTGTACCTTTAGATTATTTCTTAATGCTTGTTAATGTCCTTTTCTTTCAGATTGAAATACTCCCTTTAGTATTTCTTAAAGAATAGGATTTGGGGGTTGACAAAATCCCTCAGCTTTTGTTTGAGAATGTCTTTATTTCTTCTTCATGTTTGAAAGCTATTTTTGCTGGATATAATATTCTACAATTAAAGTGTTTTTTTTCTTCAGCACTTTAGATATATCATGCCATTCTCTCCAGGCCTGTAAGTTTTCCACTGAGAAGTATGCTGCCAGATGTATTAGAGCTCCTTCGTATGTTATTTGTGTCTTTTCTCTTGCTGCTTTTAGGATCCTTTCTTTATCCTTTACCTTTTGCAGTTTGATTATTAAATGCTGAGGTAGTTTGATTTGGGTTACATCTGCTTGGTGTTTTATAACCTTCTTGTGTTTGAATATTGGCATCTTTCTCTAGGTTTGGAAAGTTCTTTCTTATTATCTCTTTGAGTAAACTTTCTACCCCAATCTCTCTCTACCTCTACTTGAAGGCCCAGAATTCTTAGATTTGCTATTTTCCAGATCTTGTAGGTATGCTTTATTATTTTTTATTCTTTTTTCTTTCGACCCCTCTGGCTGTGTATTTCAAATAGCCTGTATTCAAGCTCACCAATTCTTTCCTCTGCTTGATCAATTCTGCTGTGAAGAGACTCTGATGCATTCTTCATTTTGTCAATCCAAGTCCTCATCTCCAGAATTTTTGCTTGATTCTTTTTAATTATTTCTATCTCTTTGTTAAATTTATCTGATAATATTCTGAATTCCTTCTCTGTGTTATCTTGAATTTCACTGAGTTTTCTCAAAACAGCTATTTTTAATTCTCTATCCAAAAGGTCAGATATCGCTGTCACTCCAGAATTGGTAACTGGTGTCTTACTTAGCTCATTTTGTAAGGCCATGTTTTCCTGAGTGGTCTTAATGCTTGTGGATATTTGTCAGTGTCTGTGCACTGAAGAGTGAGGTATTTATTCCAGTCGTCTCTGTCTGGGCTTGTTTGTACCTGTCCTTCTTGAGAAAGCTTTCCAAGTATTCAAAGGAAATTGAGTGTTGTGATCAAAGCCTTTGGTCACTGGAACCATATATGCATTAGGGTTACTCCAAACCCAGTAATGTTGTGATTTGCAGACTTTAGAGGTACCACCTTGGTGGTTTTGTGTAAGATCTGAGAGATTTCCCTGGATTACCAGGCAGGGTCTCTTATTTTCTTCTCTTAATTTCCCCCAGACAAATCAACTTTCTCTCTCTCTCTCTCTCTCTCTCTCTCTCTCTCTCTATCTCTATCTCTATCTCTATCTCTCTCTCTCTCTGCTGAGCTGCCTGTAGCTGGGGAAGAGGTAATGCAAGCACTCCTGTGGCCACCCTGCTGAAACTGTGCTGAGTCAGACCTGAAGCCAGTACAATACTGGGTCTTGCCCAAGGCCTGGGGTGATGATTGCCTGTCTACTGCTGATGTTTATTCAAGACCCAAGAGATCCTTGGTCAGCAGGTAGTAAATGCTGCCAGAACTGGGTCTTTCACTTCAGGGCACTGGGTTCTATTCTGTCCCAGGATAGGTCTAGAAATATTGTCCAGGAGTTAGGTCTGGATAGGGCTCTGCTTCGTGCTTTATTTTGCTGTGGCTGAGCTGGAGTCCAAGTTGTGAGATAAACTCCTCTTTTTTCTTTCCTCTCCTTCCAGAAATGCAAGCTGTGCTGCCTGGAGTTGGAGGAGCGGTGATGCACACACTCCCTCGGCCACCTCAGCTGGTGTTTCACTGGGTCATGGGCACCCCAAGTCTGCCAGCTCCAAGCCCAGCACAGCCCTAGAACTAGCCCAGGAATTGCAGTCCTTGTGGCTTAGACTGCCTTTTAAGTTTACTTGGGACCCTAGAGCCCTTTAGCCCATGATGATGGGGGTTGCTGGAACTCAGATTCCCACTACCAGGATGGATAATTTCCCTGTGGCTAGGGCTAGTCTAAAAGCTCCCTCCATGGGTGCTGGCTGAAGTCTGCCTTGTATTGCTTTCCATTATGACAGGGCAGCACTGAATTCCAGTGCAAAGCCCCACAATTACTGTACTGTCCTTCCCCCAAGTGTACAGATTCTCTCTTCTGCCCCACATAGTGCCACCAGGGGATGGGGGAGCAGTGGTGTCAGGAATTTAAGACTGTCTTTCCTACCCTCTTCAGTGTCTCTTTCCTTAACATGATGTTAAAACCAGGTACTGTGATCACTCACTTGCTTTTTGGTTCTTATGAAGGTGATTTCTTCTGTGGATAGTAGTTCAATTTGGTGTTCCTGTGAGGAGGACAGTCACTGAAGGGTTCTGTTTGGCCATCTTGCTCCCTTGTTTTTTGTTTACATTGTCTATGTCACCTCACATAGTCCAGAATGTACTGAGTGAATTTAATAAATGTTTGTTGCAGTAATGAATAAACGAGAAGTAAACTTTCTTTAAGTTTTGGAACCTAAAATAATAAGTTTTAGTTGGGAAAACTCCCTAATAACATCCTTGGGAGTACAAGTATGATTAACAAAGATTACTTATCTCAGAAAGGTAAATTTTATATGTGAAAACACTTTTATATGAAGTTTGAAAATATATTTGGAATAAATATAAGGAATCAGTGAGAGAATAGTCAATGTGTAGAGGCAAATCAGAAAAGTGAGATTCAAGACCTGCCTTCACACTCTTTTTAAGTTTGAGCATGTACTTAACCTCTTTGACCTCCAAATCTCTCCTTTGGTCTTATATACAATCAGGTGTTTCTAATTATAATAGATGATGATGTGTGAGAGAATATATTGTTAACTGCAAATCTTATAATAATAAAAGCTGTAATAATACATTTACAAACTAGCATAATTTCATTGAGCAACAGAAATTGTGAAGACAGCATTTATTTTCTTTAAAACAATGATGTATTTCATAATTCACATATTTTGCTTTTCAAATAATTGTTTATTAAAATTTGTATTTGTATTGATTGAGCACTTATGAATTAGATAAGTAATGCCATATTATTTTATATCATCTGTTATCTGTGTCCAGTGGATTTATACAATCTCACATTTTTTATCTGGTCATGTACAAGGGTGTGAATTCACCCGAAACACTCAGAGTGATTCTGCTATCTGTATACAATCCTATAGCATTTGCTTTGATATTAAAGAATGCCATCAAACAGAAAATGATGTGGTCATTAAATGTAGGGTAAAACCAAAGTTTATGATATGAATTCTAAAAACATCATATGACTTCAAGTGAACTTTGAGACTTGTCTCAATTTGAAAATTGCTGTCTACTTCATTTTACTGAAGAAAAGGATAAGAGCAAATAGATTATAAGTCACTGCAGACAAAACAATTTATTTTCCAGACTAAAGAGAATTATGAAAAACCAGACATTTAAATTGGTAGAAAAAAGAGTACCTGTTGATAGTCTCAGATTGCTGGGAACAACAGGCGTTTCACATTGGCTTAACAGGCGCAATTATTTTCTTCCATTTGGTATAAGTCTCTGTCTCCATTTTTTTTCTGGTTCATATCTCTGAGACTACTCATTTGTGAATATGCTTGAAAATGTGTTTCCATGGTGATTTCATGCGCCTATTTTCTTCTCTTGGGCTCTGTATTCTTAGGGTAAATCTCAGCGCCTCATAGAGTGCTTTATCTGCACGCCTCCTCATCCCTTTCTCATCCAAAACCTCGTGCCTTACATGACACATTCTACCATTCCTTTGTTTTTTTATTTTATTTATTTTATTTATCTTTGAGATGGAGTCTCGCTCTGTCCCCCAGGCTGGAGTGCAGTGGAGTGATCTCTGCTCACAGCGAGCTCCGCCTACCGTGTTCAAGCCATTCTCCTGCCTCAGCCTCCCAGCAGCTGGGACTACAAGCGCCCGCCACCACGCGCGTGCGGCTAATTTTCGTATTTTTAGTACAAACGGGATTTCACCGTGTTAGCTAGGATGGTCTCAATCTTCTGACCTCGTGATCCACCCACCTCAGCCTTCCAAAGTGCTGGGATTACAGGCGTGAGCCACCGCGCCCGGCCTGTACCATTCCTTTGCAAAGGGAAGCATGTTCTCCTTAGTTCTGCAGAAATTCAAAACAGAAAAATGTGAAGAATTGAAAAGCTATGATGATGGCAGTGTAGCAATCTTCTCTGTAGTGGACTCTTTAAGTATTCTGGCCATGCCCAGGACTAAGATGATGAGGTGGTATAAAAACTAATTCTTTGGTTTGGAGAATTACTACCTGCTTCCCTACCCTAATCTACTTGAAGTGAACTTGGGTAACAATAATCACAACCAAAAATTGAGCACTTTATATGTTTTAGGCACTATACTAGGTGCCTTACGTGGATTTAATCATCAAAACAACTCTGTAAGTTAGTTACTACCGTCATACTGGAGAAAAGGAAAGGGAATTTGGGAAGGGAAGCTTATTCAGCTTTAATTATTATAGACAATGAGGTGAAGTTAATTACATGAACACTACATAGATGATATCTATTGCACCCATTCACTTTTTGTGTACTAGGAATCATAGAAATAATTAAATGTTTTAGAAGATTTACTTTCCAAATCTAACATTGATTCTAACTGCCAAGAATTTAATGTGAGAGCTTTACTGCCTTTAAACTTATTTATATAAATGCACACATACATACAGAGAGAGAGAGGAAGAGAGAGTAATGTTGAGTACATAGTTAACGTGCTGTCAAGAAGCCCAGGGCTGACTTGGTGTAGGTCTGTTTTCTTGCATGAAGTTCTTGGTTTGATCCTATAATTTCTGCATGTCATTATTATTCCTTAAAAACCCGTCTAGGTTTGTAAGTTTCTTTAGGGCTACAGTGTGTCTTGGTGTCACTTGTATCTCAAAAACCTATTTCACTGTGGTGTACAAAATAAATAAACTCAAAACCACTAAGAATCAGAGTCTTAATTGTAATTCCTGTAGAACAACAATGGCCTTGTTTTGAGGAAGAGGAAAAGGGAGCCATGGAGCTTTTCTTTCTTCAAGAATAAGAAGAAAACCTCATAGTTGCTTTCATGTTCTCCTGAAGAAAACACAAAGCCTTGATGACTGATTTTATTTTAAATTAATGACCTCTAACTTCAAGTTGGCTTTTTTTTTGTTTTGTTTTTAGAGGGAGTCTCAGT
Source organism: Homo sapiens (assembly GCF_000001405.40). Taxonomy (NCBI): domain Eukaryota; kingdom Metazoa; phylum Chordata; class Mammalia; order Primates; family Hominidae; genus Homo; species Homo sapiens. The sequence goes on from NC_000002.12 coordinate 4,319,631, forward strand.
CTATCACCCAGGCTGGGGTGCCGTGGCGCGATCTCAGCTCACTGCAATCTCTGCATCCCAGGTTCAAGTGATTCCCCTGCCTCAGCCTCCTGAGTAGCTGGGACTACAGGCATGCACCACCACGCCAAGCTAATTTTTGTATTTTTTAGTAGAGTTGGGGTTTCACCATGTTAGCCAGGCTGGTCTCTATCTCCTGACCTCGTGATCTGCCTGCCTCGGCCTCCCAAAGTGCTGGAATTATAGGCATGAGCCACCACACTTGGCCTCAAGTTGACTTTTTTGTGTATTAATTTAAGGCATACAAGTGTAATTTTGTTACATGGATATATTATGTAGCGGTGAAGTTTAGGTTTTTAGTATAGCCATCACCCAAATTTTGTATGTTGTACTCAGTAAGTAATTTCTCGTCATCCACCTCCGCCCCCCAACCTTCCATCATGCTAAGTATCTGATGCCTATTATTCAACAATCTATTTGCACTGATTTTTATAGAGACAGGGTCTCACTATGTTGCCCAAGCTGGTCTTGAATTCCTGGGCTGAAGCGATCCTTCTACTTCAGCTTTCCAAAGTATTGGGATTATAGGTGTGAGCCACTGTGCCACTGTGCCTAGCCTCTCTATTTAGCTCCCACTTATAAAGGAGAACGTGCAGCATTTGTCTTTCTGTTTCTGAATTGTTTGATTTAAGATAATGGTCTCCATTCCCACTCAAGTAGCTGCAAAAACTCTATATCTTTGCTATTGTGAATAGCCCTGTGATAAACATATGAGTGCAGGTATCTTTTTAGTATAATGATTTCCTCTGGGAAGATAACCAGTAATGGTATTTCTGGATCAAATGGTAGTTCTCTTTTAGTTGTTTGAGAACTCTCCATACTGTTTTCCATAGAGGTTGGAAAGATTCACCAAAATTATACATTCATACCAAGAGTGTGTAAGTGTTCCCTTCTCTCCACATCCTCATCACCTATTATTATTATTTTGTTAAGAATAGCTATTCTGACTGGTATAATACGACATCTGATTGTGGATGTAATTTGCATTTCTCTGATAATTAGTGAGGTTGAGCATTTATTTTCATATGCTTTTTGGCCATTGTAAGTCTCTCTTTTTTTTTTTTTTCCAAAAAATGCCTATTCTTGTCCTTTGCCCAATTTTAATGGGGTTTTAATTATTTTTACTTTTATGGTCAGTGCTTTGAGTTCCTTGTAAAATCTGGATATTAGGTCCCTGTTAAAAGCATACCAAAACCTCTGGGATACAGCAAAAGTAGTTCTAAATGGGAAGTTTATAGCACTAAATGCAATATAAAAGATCCTTGGAGACCATTATGAACACACATAAGCTCACAAATTGGAAAACCTAGAGAAAATGGATAAATCCTTAGAAATATACAACTTCCCCAGATTGAACCAGGAAGAAATAGAAATTCTGAACAGACCAACAATGTGTAGCTAGATTGAATCAATAATTAAAAAAAAAGTCCTGACAACAAAAAATCCCAGGACCAGATCGTTTGAGATCTGAATTCCATCAAACTTACAAAGAAGATCTACTACCAGTCCTCCTGAATCTCTTCCAAAAATCGAGAAGGAGAGAATTCTCCCTCTTTCTGCGTGGCCAGTGTTACTCTGATACCAAAACCAAACAAGGATACAACAACAACAAAAAAATTACTGATTAATATTCCTGATACATATAGACAAAACAATTCTCAGGAAAATACTGATAAACTGAATCCAACAACACATCAAGAAGATAATACATCATGATCAAGTAAGTTTTATACCAGGGATGCAAGGATGGTTCAACATATGCAAATTGACCTTTAATGTCACCTAGAAACTCTACCAGATCTTCTAGCTTATTCGATCTGTCATTCTTTTGATGTAAATGACTAAAACTTTCTTCTTTCTCCTCGAACCTCCTACACTTTTTCTTCCCTCCTCAATCTCAGCAGATCATTTCTTCCCTAATTCATCAAGAATACAGAAGCACTGAAGAGAAAATGCACACAAGCTTCCACCACTGTCTATGCACAGACCTGTATGACTGATTTCTTATATTCTGTCTTCCTTGCTGTTTCTGAGCCATGCTTTTTTCCTATCTGATGCACCCCTTTTTACATAGAATCTATAATACCTCCTCTAGCTTACTCAAGGAAATTTCTCTATCAGTAATGTTTTCTTCTGTCCTCTTCCTCCTCCTCCTCCTCCTTCTCCTTCTCCCCTTCCTTTTTCTCCTTGTTCTCTTTCCTGGATTACTCCCATTATTATAAACATGGCTGCAGTTTCTCCCAACGGAAGAACAAAACAGCAGCCACAACGAACCAAGAAAACCTTCTCTCTCTATTCTTTTTCAGTGATACCTTTGACCTATTTCTTTGCCCTCCTTTGTAGCAAAATCCATTGAGATAATTGCCTCCATAAATGACCTCTGCATTGAGAAATTTTGTAGTTAATTATCCTTGCCTTACTTGACCTATCATCAGCATTTAGCACATTTGACCACTAACTTATCCTTTCTGGTGTTGCTTTTCCAGTTATTTCACTAGCTACTTATAGTAGGTATTTTACTAGCTTCTCCTGCTCAATCTCTTTTTCTTCTCAAAAAGGATTCAAGGCTCAGTGCTTAATTTTCTTCTCTTTACTTCTGCACTTGTTTTCTCAGTGATTTACTTCATCTCATGTCTTTAAATGCCCTGCATATGCTAATTGTCCATACATTTGATCTCCAGAACTGGCCCCTCCACTGAACTCAAGACAGTCCAACTGCCTGTACAACAGTGCTGTCTGTATCATAGGCATCTCCAGATCAGCTTGTTCAAAATACCTCATTTTATCTCTAAAGTGTTACACTTCTATTGCTTTCCTAGTGTTAAGAAATGAAAATACACTGCTTCCAGTTGCTTAAGCCAAATATCTTTTGTTGACCTTAACTTCATTCTTTACACCAGGCCTCAATACATCAGCTCACCTAGTAGGCCCTTGTTTTAAAATATTATATACCCAAAACCTGCCAATATGCCTTCCACCTCTGCCATGTCTGCTCTGATCAAGGCCACTCTTTGCTCTTGCTTATTTTATTACAGCAGCCACATGCTCTCCTGTATCTAGAAACCCCCAATTCTCTATTATCAACAGGGAAGCCAGGGTAGTTCTCCTTAAATTTACATCAGGATGTGTCAACCTTCTGCTCAAAACTCTATAATATCTTTTCTTGCCACTTAAAGCTGAAAATATTTTAACAGTTTTGAAAATTTCTCTATTCCAAATCCAATGCACCCCCCACCCATCCACCACCTTACCTCTGTAGCCTCACTCACGTTCCTTTCTGAAAAAGGTGCACCGAGGAGTTCACGTTATAGTCATGAGGATGGTCTCCAATTATCAGTCAGTTATCCTGATACAAAATTATGTGCAAATTTGGAACAGGGAACACTCATTGTGAAATGTCTTCATATGTCTTATAGTATACAAGTTTTTAAAAATTGCATTTAGTTTCAGTCCAGCTTAGCCCTCACCTGGTAATCTTCAGAAACCTCTTTGGGGAACATTATCTTACTGGCTCTTCGAGCTCTCTTTCCATTAGCATATGTGATTTGGAAACAAATATGGCACTGGTGTTTAGGGCTTCAGGCTCAATATGCTTAGAGTGTGAGGGAAGCCCTGGTGTATGGGTTCAGGTAGCTGTATCTTCAATCTGCTCTCTTCACAGGAGGTCAATCTGCTTCATTCTTTTTGGGTTTCAAATTCTCAGGTTATAAATATTGTCCCAGTTTCTGACACCTACGCAATTTAAGGTCTGTTCTTCATTATTTGGCTGGTGTTTATTTTTCCTGTGTAAATGTTGAAAGCTCCCCAAGCCATGACAAAATGTTGTTCTTTCTCTTCTGGAGATACTCTTAGGAAGACTTTTTACTTACAAATTTACTGGGGATTGTGGCTTTTGTACACAATACCTGGCAGTTAATTTTACCCCACATTTTAGCAGTTCCTATTGTTCTCCCACTCAATAGCTCACACTCCTCAATACTAGGAAGCTGTATTTATCTACCAGCCCCATTTCCAGGAGCCATTAGTACAATCTATGTGGCAGAAGCAAAGATACCTAGAGCACCAATAACTTACATTCTAAACAAAGGCACTCTCAGAACAAAGTCATATCCATTGTCAACAAAGTCCTTGTGGTCACCCCAACAGGCGATGAGTTCTACAAATAATTGGACATTCATAACATATCATAATACTTTTTCAGGCATTTATGCCTCTTTAATTAGGTTACTATATGTGTATTTCCAGACTTCTTTTTGCTCAATACTTATGACTATTTGCCTTTAAACTTCGAAGATTATACCGCATCCAGGTACCTTTAGCTCTTTGCTGTTGCTTATCTCTGATAATGAAGGCTCATTTCTACTGGATAAAATGATGAAATTAGTTAGAAAACTGCATATATTAGATTACGTCTATGCAGAAAGAAATGACAATTATTCCAAAAAGTAGTCATCACACTGTCTTGGTCTTTATATTTTCTGTACATGAAAAATTGTTCAAGTGAAACATAAACTCCAAGATTTTATCTGGTTCCCTAAAATTGGCTTATCAAAGAGTATTATGAAATGTTCCAGATAATAAACATAAGCATAAGCAGTTTCAACAATTTACTTTTCTAGGGAGAAAGGGACTGAGAAGCTTTGGTTAAGGATTTATGTAGACTTTTTTCACAGAAAATCTAGGTATGTAATTTTTGAATATCATATATTAATCCAAATAAAATTAAACACTTACAAATTCATCTAAACATCAGAACTCAACCACAGTTGTCTTCCACTTATATCGCCAGATGTTATCCTTTCTGACAATCTTTCATTTATTTCATTCGTATTAAGTAACTTAAGAAGATCAGATCTAAGCTGTCTTCATAACACTTCATCACTCTAAAGCAAATAGACTACAATGATAGTACCAACTTCTAAGTGTGGCCCAAAGCAAATTGTTTTGTGGACAGAGTGAATTGCTGGACGTGTTACTCCATGCTCAGAAGGTCATTGCAAGCTCCTCACTACGATTCTTTCCTGATGCGTTAATAAGAGACAGATACCTCAAACATGCCTGAACTATCCCCAGACAGGATTAAATAAAGGCTTTCTTTTAAAAAATAAATGCCAGGCTTCATTCCAGATGGCTTATTAGACAAAGAAGATTCTCTGGATGCTATTCTCTTCACAGTAAAGGTCACTCACAAGACACAATCCCTGCTAGGGACCATGAATGAAAGCAGATAGATTTACTATAATTAAGGTCCTAGGATCAGAGTCCCACCTGGATTCCAGGTCATTGATATTGCAGTGTAGAATGCCTCAGAAATAATTAGAGCCACGAAATGGAAAAAAAAAATTCTGCATTGATTATCTATTTTTAGTGTCTTTAAAAAAATGCGGTCTTCTCTTAAATAGTAGATATCTAGTCCCAACACCTAGATATTCTGATTCTGTGGATTTACAGTAGGCTCTGTATCCCCAGTGATCTGCGTTTTTAACAAGGAGTCAAAGTAATCATCTGAAAATGACTGAACAGACATGTTATTTATGGTTTGTTTTGGTTTTGTTGCTGTTGTTCTTAGGATTTCTATTGTTCTTTTGATCTAGTGTAAATTTTCTTCAATAAAAGAGTGTATGGATGAAGTCTTGCTTGTAAGCTTTATATTGCTATGGGTTAGAAATTGACCATAAATATTGTGAAATATTCAATTTTATCTTGTATGTAGTGCCCCATTGAATGTCCTTCCATAGATATCTGTGTGCATTTATCTGATTGTTTGCATATTAACAGAAAAGTTAATCTAATATACGAGCATGGTGCTGGTATCCTTTCTTGCTTTAGGTATTACCATTTAAAAAATTAGCAGAATAGAAAGGAAGCAAATTCTACCCCAATATCATCATTATTCATGCTTCCTTCAATAGTAAGTTCAAACATTTAAAATGCTTTTTAAATAATAGTTTTTTCTTCTATGTTTTGCCTGTTCTTATATTTTGCCCATTTTTCTATTGGTTTATGTTTTTTTCTTATTATAAGAACACGTTAATTGTCTGCAACTTTATTCTGGTCTATTTGCATGCTAATTTTGTTTATAATGCTTATAATACGCAAATGTTTTAATTTTAATTTTTATTTTACTTTAAGTTCCAGAATGTGCAGGTTTGTTACATAGGTATACATGTGCCATGGTGGTTTGCTGCACCTATCAATCCGTCATCTAGGTTTTAAGCCCCACATGCATTAGGTATTTGTCCTAATGCTGTACCTCCCCTTGGCCCCCACCCCTCCAACAGACCCCAGAGTGTGTTGTTCCCTTCCCTGTGTCCATGTGTTCTCATTGTTCAAATCCCAATTATGAGTGAGAACATGCAGTGTTTGGTTTTCCTGTGTTAGTTTGCCGAGTATGATGGCCTCCAGCTTCATCCATGTCCCTGCAAATAACATGATCTCATTCTTTTTTATGGCTGCATAGTATTCCATGGTGTATATGTACCACATTTTCATTATCCAGTCTATCATTGATGGGCATTTGGGTTGGTTCCATGTCTTTGCTATTGTAAATAATGCTGCAATAAACATATCAATCTTTTTTTCCACAAATCAACTCATGATTAGAAAACGGCTGTACATTTAAGAATTAATTAAATGTGAATGTACATCTTCTTTGAACATTCTTTCTGGTTTCATTTTTGCATTATATTTTATGTGTTACTATTTTCTAAATACTTACATCTGTTTAATTCTCCTTAATCTATCTTTTGGTCAGTATTAACCTTTGGATTCTTTGCTCTTGGTCAATTGTGTATCATTAAAACAAGTGCGGTCAGATATGGGACTAACACTCCATATTTCTCCAATAAAAATTACTGTTTGTTACACAATACAGAAAAGCATTCTGCTCCACAGGTAAATTCAAAATTTTACTTTTTGGAATATAGAAATTTACTAACAACTTTACAACAGTATTTTTTCCAGTATCTCCACATCATATTAAAAAAAACCAGGAGTTCAACCTCAGCAGACAACCTCAAATACAGAAATTGCATACATTTTATGTGGACCATACTATCATGAATTTATTATGCACATTTTACTATTTCTGCTGCATATGCTACATAGTAGGTTCCTGTATTTTTTCTTAATTTTATAACATAGTTACTCAACCTATCGTAAATTTCCATTTTCAGTGTGAATGCCAATATATATAAACATTTAAGACCAAATCAAATTGGTTGCTGTGTCTCCTTTTTATTTTATACAAATCAGGTTGATACACATCATACGTTTATAATCATATCATCATAATCATATTTTGAGTTATCTTCATTCCATAGAACCATGTTCTTGTTTTTTTCTATATTTTTCATGTGGCTGAGGAGGGATCTTAAAGCAGTTGAACACCTTAGAATATGTACGTGTCTGTACCTGTTTCCTTATCTATAGCATGGACAGTAGTATGTAGTGATTTTCAAGCAATCTCCCTACTTCACTTCCTGGGCTAGTGTGCCCTGAAGTGTGATCCAGAAACTGCGAACATAAAACTATTGAGATATTTCTTTAAAAGGTATATTTCTGGTCCTGTCTCAGAACTATGGAATTCAAAATTCAGAATTCTGAATTTTAGGCAAGCTAAGTAAATTCAGAATTCTGAATGTTAGGCATTCTAAACATGCCAGAATGTCGGTGTGGTCGGGTGGTGAGTGAGTCGTGCTGCTTAACTGAAAAAGCTGCCTGGGTGATTTGATGAAGTCTCACTGCCACCACCAAGAACCAATGAACTACAAGAAACAGTTTAATATATACGCCTTTTAAAAACATGACTGTCTTTCTTACATTTGAAGTTTTGTCTCATGTAGATTGGTGTTTATTTAAGTTTATTTTAATGTATTATTATCCTTTTGTTTCTTATATGTACATGGTTGTGTTTTTTCCTAGCATTATATTAATGTAATCATACTGGCTTTTTGCAGTAATAGAGTTCAAAATTTCTTAGAGCAGTTTAACGATTATTCTGGGAGCTAATCAAGAATATTAAAGCGACAACAAGTTTAACAAGAATATACAGCATGTTATGCTCTCAGTGTTTTAATTAGTATGCTTTCTATTGTCTGAGGGATGTGCATTGAATTAACTCTATGAACACACAATTCTACGTCTTCAAGTGCATGAGGACAGAGAGCTGAAAAAGAGTAATAAACTGATTTTTCACTTATTTTCAACCATACATTCACTGTTATAGCAGTAGGCTCTGAACTAGATTTTCACAAAGCATTCATTTACCAATACTTCCAGAGTAATATCATTATTTACATCACTGCCAATTATCCTTAACTTATGGTTTATAACATTCAACTCTCTACCATGGCATAAAAGACTCTTCTTACTCTGATTTGTACCTTTTCTAGTCTTACTTCTTCATATTCTCTTCTTGTATTTCAAGTTTCCATACACGTCTTAGTCCATTTTATGTTGCTATGAAGAAATATCCGAGACTGAGTAATTTACTTAAAACAGGTTTGTTAAGCTCACGGTTCTGCAGGCTGTACAAGAAGCATGGTGCCAGCTTCTGCATCTGGTGAGGGCCTCAGGCTCCTTCCAGTCATGGCAGAAGGTAAAGGGGAGCTGGTCTGTGCAGAGATTACATGGTGAGAGAGAACTGAGAGAGAGGAGAAATGAGCCAGGCTCCACTGACAATAAAAAAGCAGCCTCTTATGACCTCAAGAGCTGAAAAACGACTTTCAGACACGTAGCGCTAAGAGGCACAATTTGGAATTTGAGGGAGGTCATAATAGAGGGGCCAGGGTAAATTCTCCAGGTAATCGGCTAAAGTTCTAGAAGGCCTATATGCTAGGGTTAAGGCTATAGTATAGGAGTAAGAGCTTTGCATTAAAAAGTCTAGTCGTAGCAAAGCCTAAAACTCCCTCTCAACTGGATCAATGGGCTATGTATGTTATTCTCCTACAAAAGAAAGAAAAAACAATTATATTCAAATGGAAAAATGTATATAAAAATGTTCTTTATTAATCATCAGAGGCAAATAACATAAAACCATGAGATATTAACATACTCATCAGATAAAACTGAAAATGAAAACAAAATAATAAGCAAACCCAGATAAAAATAAAGAGACAGGAAACCCGAGAATATCAGGTGTTGGTGAGGCTCTGGAGCATTACACATTGGCATAATACGTTGGTACAACCACTTCAAAAAACGTTTTGTTGGTATTTATTAAGCTGAACATATGTGTTCTCCATAATCTAATAATTCAACTAGGCATATCCTTAATGGCAATGCCTCTATATGTGCAAAAAAGCAATGTAAAAGACTATCTGCAGCAGCTTTATTGATAATAGATCAAAAGGAACATGACCAAACTGTCTTTTACCATCAGAATGTGCAAATGAATTATGGCATGTATTTTTGTAATAAAAAATAACAAATTGCTATGCATCAACATACATGAATTTGACAGTAATGAGTTTGAAGGAGAAAGCCTAGACTTAAATGAATATATGGAATATATTTTACTCTTATGAAGTTGAAAAACAAGTGAAATTAGTCAGTGGTGATGCAATTCAGAATAGTACTCACTTTGGGAGAGGAGTACTGGGTAGCAGGAAAGATGCTTCTGGATTGTGTGATAGTCTATATCTTGGTCTGAGTGGCTGTTAGACAGGCATATACATTTGTAACATATCACCAAGTTGCATACTTAAGTTTGTTTAGACTTTATTGCACGTGTGCTTTTCCCATTTTTTCCTGAAGCTCAATACTTCAGAAAAAAATAGAACAAACTGTATAATACTTTAACCTTAGCTATGATTGTCTGGTGTTGGAAACTAGTCATCTGCATGGTGCCACACTTCCTTTATGCACCCATGACCACAGGTCACCATGTTGGTGTGACACTCTATCTTGTGGAAACCACTGTACCCTGGTCCTTTTCAACCCAGCGCCCTCAGGAACTTGCCCTGGGGCAAAGGCTGGCACCTGAGAGGATGCCTTTCTACCATCCTGGGTCAAGTTACCTGCAAGAAATATAAATTAAAAGAAGTTAAGTACTACTGCTGCAAAAGTAGCAAAAACAATACCAAAATTAAATTTCTGTAGACCTTTCTCTCATCTGTCATCTTAATTGAAATTGGAATAACAGAAAGGAAAATGTGATTGTTTCCTTCTCTCACCTCTCTGAATCTGCTGTTCCTTGAAAGGACAGGATATCTATTCAATCAGGCAGGCTTGTCTGCGGCTCATTTCTCTACCTCCACCTCAGGCCACTTTCGAACTGATTTTTTTCTTTTTTCTTTTTATCGCTTCATATGGTGGCATTTTCTCCTATGAACTAATATTTTATCAGTAGAAATTAATTCTCTTTTAAATATGTCTTGAAATATTTGTTGCTTTCTTTACAACCCAATATTTTTGATATATTGTATCTGTCATGTTGTAAAAGTAATGGCACCATGCAGTATGACTTGTATTCATTTTACAAGCAAATGTGCAGAAATATGTTAAATTGGCCTCACTAAGACATTTCTGCCTTGCAAAAATTGAAAACTAAATTGATTTGATATAATTAAGCAATGAAGGAAAGGCTTGTTCTCTGTAGTTAACCCTGATAGTTTTTAGCTGCTAAGAAATGCCCTGCCCTTGGGCCTTAATTAGTATGTAAAAAATGTAAAGTAATTATTACTTTGTAGTGGGAAAAACTTAAAAAAAAAAACAAGCTCTCATTTCCTAGGGATGTGCTGTTCTTGACTTATTGATTTCCTAGCAATTAATAGTATTTTATATTATTATTTTATCTTTCTTTAGAAACTGCTAAAACTATTTGGAAAGTATACACACTTACAGGAAGTGTTTCATAAAAGCCTTTTGGATTAAAAATTAGGTAATGCAAATAGAACTACATTTTCTTAATTATAACATAATATGAAATACAGAAAATAATAGAGAAGATGAATAAAATCCACATGAAACTCATCACTGTTGATATTTTGTTGAATTTTTCTCTGTGTGTGTACATTTATTTGACACATCTGGAATTGAAACTTATACATGTTTTAATCCATCTTTTTCACTTACTCTTTATACTAAAGGTAAGTAAAATATTAAAATATTAAATTAAAATATTAAATATTTTCTGATACCATTAAAACTATTTCCAAACATCTTATAATGACTTCTATTTCACACAATAGATCAATAATGAGTTAACCAAGTTCTTACTGCAGAACATTTCAAATTGCTGATTTTGCAGGGGGAAAATAGTTCAAAGTTATAGTTTCATGCACTTGTCATTTACTTTTTTGGGAAACATATTTTGAGATTCATGCATTCCACTCAGAAATTCTTTCTTACTTTTTATTGTTCATCTCCTCTAGAGACCAAAGGGTATATCAATCTGCTGTGGTCTTTAATATTCTTTCTGAAGGAGGAGATGATTCATTTGCTCAAGTTGAGGAATCCCAGGATTGTGTATGAGACGAGACTTGGGGGAAAAAAACAAAACTGGAAAAATAGTATTACTGTGAGGAAGATGAAACACCGAGCTTCTCCCAGCCCTCCACAGGATCATGGAAGACACAAAGTTGATTTGTAAAATCTTCATAAAAACATATGTCTTAGCCATGTGTGGGGAAGGGGGGCTGGTCCTGGGAAATGAGGAATATGGATATTCAAATTTACAACTGAGTTTAAGTTCTCAATGAGCTATTTAAAAAAAGGAGACTATATTTTCAGCAATTCCTATCCCCCAGTCTGAATTAACTCCTACATTGCTTTATATTGTATATCGACCAATTCATAAGAAAACATTATAAGGAGATGAGGTACTAGATGTGGTATATATTGAACATCTGTGACTGATTAGAGTCTCCAGGCCTCGTGAAAATGGCAAATTGAGCTAGTTCGCTGGGACATGATGGGTCTCTCTTCGTAATCACTGCTCTTCCCTTTTCTAGCCCCTAGTACCAGTAATAAGACCAGTGCAGCTGACATGTCAGGTTGATAAAGATTGAACTCTTATACTTTACACTTTGTTCCAATAAATTTAATTCTGTTTCAATATCCATGCATCTGGGAAGCTTTGCCAGACTGTCATTAAATCATGTTTTTACTGCTCAGTTATCTGACCAACAAATATGCCCCACGCCTGTGCTAGATGCATTCATACAGAGGAGGCCACAACCCTATACCTTGCATTCTGCTGACAAGCACGGTCTACAGATGGCATTACTGTTAATGAATGAGGCTCCATACTTGAGCTTTACTAGCTTAGCAGGACTAGCAACCATGACTACATGTTAGACTTGGGTGGATTGTTTTCTTTCCTCGGTAATACTCCCATATCCCTACACCTGTGCCTGTATGAACCACAAGTCTTTAAATGAAGGACTCAGTCTTTAGTTAATGACTCAAGACAAGGACATCTGCATACTGAAACCTTCCCTTCACATATCAAAACTGAAGAGGAGTCTTCATTACCCACTGTTTGGTAATTAAAATTTATATTGTGTGTATTTTTCCTGCATGTTAGACTTGCCACCCGGGGCAGAAGCTAAATGGACCCTCAGCTACCCTTAGCTTCTTCTGAGATGCCAACGAAGTGTGGACTTGGGCATGTGGAGGGCACTGACCTCACACCTGGTGACTCAGACCATCACCCCTCTCTTGAGCTGACTCTAATTCCATGTTCTGCTTTAACCTGTTAAATGGCTTGAGAGTAAAAAAAAAAAAAAAAAGCACATAAATTTTGAGAATATTTTCATGCAATCATAAACTTTCATTTTTTTGTAAACTATTCATGGATATAAAAGAAAGGAAACCTATTATATGTTGAGCACGTACTCTGTTTCAGAAACTAGGCTGTCGTTTTATGTTACACCGTCGAATCCTCAGAACTCCTCAAGGTAGGTTAACAGTCGAACCACGTGCAATTGTCGTTGTAAGTCAAATGACAGTCAAATATCCACAAATTTACATGATTCAAATTAATAGTTGACCCCCACTTTATATAGCAGTGACAAAGAAATTGAATCACAGTGAAGCTGGGTCTGAATCCCTTCTGTTTGGCTTCAAAGGCTGCGTACATTTCTGCCCACTCTCTAAAGAACAGTTAAAGAGCAGGGGGGTTAGACATTCATAGCACACCTATTATGGCAAGTAATTGCTTTATATTATTGCATTCATTCGTAGACACTGATATTCCAGTGTTATAGATAAGGAGATCACAGCTCAGAGAATTTAAGTAACTCTTTGTTATGATGAAAATAGAAGTTTCCTGGCTGGGATGTTTCTAAGTTCCATTATTGTGACTGCATGCCTGCTTTTGGTCTTTGAGGTTTAGATGTTTACCGATGTCCCTTTGTTCTTTTTCTTCGTAACATTTTCACAATGTACATTTAAATGACAATTTAATTGATGCTAAACCTATATTGTTCACTTGTATGCTCACTGGCAAATAATAGAATCTGGTACCTAGTCGGTGCAAAATAAATATTTGTTGAATGCATGGTAGATGAGTGAGCAAATACATGTTTGAAAGTCAAAGCTCATTTCATTACCGCACCTTGGCCCTTTGATAGCCTGGATAGAGCTCACGGTAGAAATAGCCCTTGGAATTCTTTTGGATAAAGATTTTGTGGGTCTTTTAATTATAAACATCTCTCACCTAGGAGAGAAAAAATTACAGTGAAAACCTTTGAAATCGATTTCATGAGAAAGAACATTAGAAAGAAAACCTTCGGTGATGGAATTTTTACAATGTGAGAGGCAGTTCCCATACTGCCTTTTGAACTTGTTGGCTGCAAAATGGTAACTAAACCCTTGTGATTCATTTTAGATAAACTGTATGAAATTTTAAACATTGATTCTTTATAAAGTGTTCCTTTATTCCACTAATCTTGAAATAAAAATGTATTCTGTATTTTTAGGACTTAGATATAAATATGCACATATGTGAATGATATTTACAATTGCATTATTACAATCCCCTTTATTTTGTCTATATGATTTTTTAAAGACTGAGAGGAGTGTGATGAGGTCTGGTATTACCACTGGGTTTTCACCAGCATTTACTGGAATAAAGAAAAAGGAAAAAAATGAACTTCAAGTATTTCTAAGTAAAATTTAACAGAATATACGTGTTCATAGCAGCTTTTTGTATTTAACTTTTCATCAATACAAATGATTATTTAAATCATTTATACTTTTGCCCAAAACCTTATTTTGCTTTTTAATATTTCTACTCCTGATTTTTAAAAAATTCACAGTAATACACTATATCCATTTGCATTTGCCCATTTTTTTTATACTTGACCTTTAAACTTTATTTTTCTGTTTCTAGGCTAATATGTTAATAACTTTGCTTTCAAAATTTTGATTTTTGCATATGTTATCTTTTATATATATTTTTTCCCTTCGGTAATTCGAAGGCCGTAAGTCCTTTAGTTTGATCTGTAGTACTTTGTCTTCGTCCCTGTGCTTTGGATACAAGTGAAACAATCATTACTTGAATTAGTTTAAGTACAAAGAGGACTTTCCTGGCTCAGATGACCATACTCTGAAACAAGAGTGTTGCCACAAGGCCCCAAAGACAGCACAGATGACATGGGGACTCTCTTTGGCACCATTTCTTGTATCTATTTCTCTCAGCTTGTTGGCTTCATCCTCACAGATGGTTTTTTTCCATTCAGCGGGGAATATGGGCACCACATTCTATTACTTCCTTTCTCAGTTTCCATTAAACGAAGAAAAACAGCCCAGGGGATGATTTGTATTTGGCTCTATTAGTTCATATATCCATTACCTGCAACCAGTAGTGAGCTGGGGCTGGTGTGGGGAGCTCAGGAATTTTGTCCTAGTCTTTTATATGTATTTATTGCTTTCACATTTTAACTTCTTAAGTATGTTATTTCATTATGCTTTATAATTGACTTAGCTCTGTCTACAAGGCTGTTATGATCCCCATAACTCCTTTGTCAGTGATTTTTACATTTGTGAGTTCATGGTTTTATTTACTAATTGACTAGGTACACAGTCAATATGTTTATCAGAAAACTAATGTATTTCTTCAGTCCTTTCATGTGTGGGATTATAGTGAATTGTGCTCAAACCTCTTTCCTTCAAAACTCTTTTAACTACGGCTAAGTTGTTTTCTGTTATTTAATTCATGAAGTAGAAATTCAAAACCAGCCTAATGTGTTCCTGGTTTTCTCACTTTAAGTTTCTTTTTCTTTTTACCTTTTTAAAATTTATAATTGACACATAAAATTGCACATATTTAAAGGGTACAGTGTGATTTTTCGATGTGTGTATATGTTGTATAATGGTTAAATTAGGGCAATTAGCATATCCATCCATCACTTTAAACATTTATCATTTCTTTGTGTTAACATTCAAAACCCTCTTTTCTAGCAATTTTAAAATATACAACACATTGTTATTAGCTGTAATCTCCCTACTGTGCAAAGAACACCAGAACTTATTCTTCCTTCTGGATTGGTAAACTTTTGAATCCATGCCGCATTTCAGAAGTAGACTCAAAGAGAGTGTTTGGGAAGGGTCTGGCAATGCCAGTGCAGTCTCTACTCATCATTCAGAAAGGAAGTGAGGCTCCTCGTATGGCAGCCAACACTCCCACAGCCCCCAAAACCTCAGCCTTTACTCATCCACATTAGGTAAGGCTAAAGAGTATGGCTAGAATCTCCTGCACACTCACTGTCTGCCTCACACACAACCATGCCTGTGTGCGCACACACCACACCATGCCACCACACACATGCACATACACACACTCCACACCTCGCCACCACACACACACACATCACGATATACGACACAGACACACACCAGACCACACACAGGCATTATACCATACACCGCAAGACATACCCACTACACCACACACATACACATGCGCGCACACTCTGCATTTATTTTCTGAAGCACTGAGTAGCCCTGCCTGGAAACACAGCCATGTGTCAGCACCTGAGGTCTTATTTCAGGTGGATTGATCTGCCTCGTATCATGAAAAAAGTCTTAGATTTTTGCCACACAGTGGCAGAGTTCTATCTGTTCTTTTGTCAATGTTCTTGTTCATGAGAAGCGGAAATTTTGAAGCTTGGTCTCACGCTGGCATTTTAAGGTTGTCTGGGCTTTTGCACAAGCCTGAGAAATAGAGCGGAGACAAGAGCACCAGCCTCTCCTTCCACTTTGTCCGCTTTTACTTTTTCATTTGCTTCCTTGTTCTCTCCTCAGTTCTTCAACGGGCCTCCTCCTTCCCCATAAATCTTCAGTGCTGAAAAAGGCAGAGAAACTCACACGATGCCCAGAAATAAAGTATAAATTTGGAATCAGATCCTTCATTATAGCTATGATAAGGCTTTGATATAAATCAAATCCTTCATTATAGGCTATGATAAGGCTTTTATCTGGTATGAAGCAGTGAGACATGGGAGAGTTTTAGAAAGAGGAGTGAAAATACATAGCTCCTGTTTTATAAAGACTCTTCTAGCTGCTTTATTTGGAACAGGAGAAGTGAGGCAAGGGCTGAGGGAGGACGACCAGGAGCATATTGCAATAACCCAGGGGAGACACGCTGGTGTCAGACCGGGATGTAGTGAGAATCAAAGGATGAGCGAGCAGAGTCTGGATTCCGAATGAGTTTTAAATGCAGAGTCAGAAATATTTGCTGATGTGTTGCCTGTGAAGTGTTAAGACAAAAGGGAAGTCAAGACGACTCTGAGCCTTTGACCTGAGCAATTGTAAGAATAGAGATGTTAAGATGGGAAATACAGACAGAGCAGGCAGCTTGAAGGATGGGTCAGCATGCAGGTGGTTTTTGTTGTTGTTGATTTAAAAAAAAAACTTTCTAGAGAAGAAAAACATGAGGAAAAACAACCTGAAGAAGGTAGAGATAAAATGGAAGTGATTATTATCAGCTGAATATTGATAGGCAGGCCATATGCCATTTTTTTTACATATATCATTTTCTTCATAAAAAACATGTGAGCAAGATATTATCCCAACCTCACAATGTGCTCAAATCTAGTATGGTTTCCAACTAAAAGATGACTATTTAATTTCTTCTTTCTCTAATTTCATCACATTATTTGCTCCAGTCTGTACAGGACATTGTATTATTTCTACTACACATTAGTTTAAATGTTTACAAAACAACAGAACAGCGACGATTCTCTGCAGTTCCTTTAATCAATAAATCTTTTCATGAGATTCTTTTAAAATGATCACATTTGCATTATTGATTTAAACTGAATGCTTTTTTCTTAAAAAGCAGTGAGGATGGCTTTTGTGTGAATATGACCCATAAACACAGGAAGCAATCAATGAGAAAGGTCAAAGGTCTCAGTGTTTGCCTGCAAGGCTGATGATGCAGTAAGACCACTGTAGCAGTGTGCAAGTGTAGAAGTCAAATATTTATTAACACTGAGGTAACGATGGAGCTGATTACACACTGGCCAACTGGGCTCAGCATACCTCATTCCAATAAAACACAATCGATGCCATCCATCAGCAGAGGCTTCTATTTATTTAATTTTTCTCATGAGGTGGTCAATTTGTCTTATTGCCTTCCCTCAGCAATTGCCAAAGCTGTGCTATTAGTAACTCATCTCTAGCTATTCATAACAGGTAACTGCAAGTTGTCTTCTTCTTTTAAAATAACTTTATAAGATAGAATTAATAAATACTCAGTGTAAAATATCTTAAAAACTCAAAATACTTGGAGAATTGTTTAAATCACCCAGATTTCCTTTATGAAGAGCTAACTTGGATTATTTTGTTACTGTTCTCTCTAGTCCTTTTATTCCTGTGGATTTTTAAAAATTTAAAATTAAACTCAAACTGCTTATACTATAAGTATTTTACTTAATATCTTAACATAGCTGCTTCTATTTATTACAAATGCTTATATCTATCATTTTAAATGCATACAATACTAAGTAAGTAACTAAATCATCCTGACCTTGAGGAAGGATATGACAGGGTCAAAATGAAGAAAAGAAAAAATTGTCTCTTTCTGGTTTTCATATTTAATGCACTAAAAATCTTAGAGAAATGGCATAGGGAATTGTGTCGAGACACTTTGCATCGTATCTTTAGGGCAGAACTTCAGGGAGATACAGTGAGCTGAGACTCGTCTGTAGTATCTAAATCAGAGGAACGTATATACTCCTTTGTAGCTAGGATCCCACACAAGCAACAAGATACTAGCAAACAAATAGGTAGATAGTGAAGTATGCTGAGAGCTCTACCTTCTAAGACTGTATGTTTTGAGCAAGTTGCTTAGCATCTCTGTTATAGCAGCCTCATGGATAAAACGTGATAAGTAAAACTCTTAGTCACCAGTATATAGTAACATCCCAATGAATATCAGCTATTTCTATTATTATGCTATTATTAAGATCATTATCATCTTCTTTATCACATGGATATGCCATTTAAAAATTATTTTACTTTTAGGGGACATCTTTATTACTCTTTACTTTACTCTTTCCCATTATCAATAAGCTGAGCTACATTAATTTTTTCTGATTGGTATTTGCATACCACCCTATAAAATTATTCTGCTTAAACATCACAAATGGCTCCATAAATTATTTATAAGCTGAAATTCCAAAATGTGAGTCTTTTACTTAAACTTCTTTCCTGAGCTCCAGATTCTCACTTATAACTGCTTTACTACCATCTCCACCTGGAGGCTACTAGGGATACCCACTGGAATCTCAAACTGTACAAACCAGAAGAGTGTTCCACCTCCTATAGGTTTGTCTTGTCAGCTTTTCTCATCTCAGTAAATTGCATCACCATTCATCCAACTAGTTTTTCAACCCCAAATCCTAGGCACCAGTAATCTTAACCAATTCCATCCACTCAGCAAATATTTAATCACAGAGTAGTTTTAATGAAGAAACATTAACATATGTTATTATTATGCATTATAATTAGAAAGAAGTTAGAGCTAATTTAACTTAGGCCACTTATTTTGTCATTGAGAGAAACTAGATGATTTCATAAAGGACATATGATAACAGACTGGGTTGGGCACAGTGGCTCACGCCTGTAATCCCAGCACTTTGGGAGGCTGAGGCAGGCAGATCACCTGAGGTCAGGAGTTCGAGACCAGCCTGGCCAACATGGTGAATCCCTGTCTCCACCAAAAAAAACACAAAAATTAGCTGTGCATGGTGGTGTGTGCCTGTAATCCCAGCTACTCGGGAGGCTGAGGTGGGAGAATTACTTGAACTTCTGGGGCGGGGAGGAAACAGAGCAAGACTCCATTTCAAAAAAGAAAAAAAGAGACTGTCAGACTCAGGACTTTACAGAACAAGAAGTAAATGCCAAGAATATGGGCATTGCTCTTTTCCATGGGCTAAAACAATATGAAAAGTGTTCTGAAGTACAGAAATTCCAATGGGAGATTAATAAGAAATTCTCATTTTTAGGATAACCCAACAGGAAAAGTAGCATAGAGAATAATAGGAATTAGTATGTCTTAAACACTTTCTGGTAGATTCTGCTGGTCACCTCTCTAACATTTGCTTTCTTTTCTTTTTGATTTGATTTGATTTTCCTCTCAGAGTGCTGGTTTTGTTTTTGGTGATGATTCCTCTCCCATGTGCCTCATGGGCAGGTGCATCCACTCCCATCTTAACAGGAAAAGCCTTAGTCTCCTTGGGCAGAAATTGCCATTTTTTTCTTGGTATCATTTTTTGTCTTTCTCTTGTTCTTCCCCATTTCCCTCTTATCCATCATTAATTATTTTTGTTTTACTTTCAGGTAAGTACCTTTCACAGTCTCTCATCTTGTTTACCATAGACAAACCACTTTCTTGGACTTCCACGATAGTTCCCAAACCTAAGTAGCTCTTAGTATATACTTTTTGTAAGTCATTTTAATTTTATGGAAGCATAGCCACAAACTGAATCTTTTTATTTTTCTTGAAGAAAAATGCTGCTGAAATACTTTCATAAGCAGACTTAAGATTATTGCAATAATTACTGTTTTATATTTTTTTACTTCTGATATTATTGCATCTGTCTATACACTCAATAGAGAGAAATTTGCTTATAAATTTTGGTCCAATAATTATGGCAAAGGAACAATTTAATTGGTTTGAGTAATGGAAAATTCTATTTTTATTTTCTCATTTTCTTTACTACTTTATTCTTTAGGAATGTATGCTAAATTTTGTCTAGATCAGAGAAGATTGATTATGGATGATTCTAAAATATGATTTTAATGTTATTCTTCTTAATGAAATTTTCACATAGCAAGACACCAAGTGGACAATTGGCTTTTCTTTCCTTAGCACAAGATATTAAAAAAAAATCCAAAAAAAAAACTTACTCTTAAAAGATTAAAGAACTTATTTACATTTAAAAACCAAAAGTAAATATGACTTTTAAAAATAATTCTCTTTACCATTATAAATGTTAATCCTCAAAGCAATTCTATAAAAAGAACATCCTGTAACTTAATCCCTATTATTATGCTTTATAATTGTTTTTTACATTCACAAACACTTGTTGGCTCAAAATAAATATAATAATTTTAGTATAGTTTATATACAACACTTCCTTCATATCTATGGAGGATATGTTCCAAGACCCCCAATGGATATTTGTAATTGCAGATAGCATTGAACTCAATTATTGTCATTTGGAACATATTTTTGTTCATGTTTTTCACCCCAAAAGTTAATGCCTTTTTCATGTCAAGCACTTGTCACACACTATAGTTGTAATGTCTGTAGTTTGAGTTACAACATGAAAACTAGCATGCATTTCTTTTTCCTTTTTCACAATTTTAAAAATAGGGTATTCAATCTTACAATCTTAGCAATCTTAGCAACCTCAACATACACATTTTTTCTTTTCTTATGTTGAGAACTTTCACCTTTCCATTTAAAGGAAGCACTTTACAGCTTCTTTTTGGAATATGTGAATTGCCAGCGTCACTATTCTTGTGCTTTGGGATCATTGGTAAGTAAAATAAGGGTTACTTAAACACAAGCAGTGTGACATTGTTATAGTAAATCTGATAACTGAGTCAGCTACTGACTCATAGGCAGGTAGTTTTTAAAGTGTAGATATGCTGGACAAAAGGATGATTCACATCCCATGTGGGATGAAGTGAAATGGTATGATATTTTATCATGCTACTTAGAAGGCAAGCAATTTAAAATGTATGAATTGTTTATTTCTGGAAATTTTCATATAATATTTTTAGATTGCCATTGGTCACAGGTCACTGAAACTGCAGAAAGTGGTCGTGGATAAGTGATGTATTGCTATAATAATATACCCTTTTTAATTTACCAGTGAATCGTCATTCTGTTTTCTTATACTATCTATCTAAACATTCTCAGTAATTGTTTTTATTGAAAAATAGGCAGCTTTTGCTATAATGAATCAATATTGTAAACTCATTCATCAATTATATATGTATATATATATAAATTTTTAAAAGACTTTAATATACAAAGCAAATGAGAAGATATATCAGTCCACGTGGCATCTTGATTGCCTAATAAAATTTTTGTGTGTCTATTTTTAAATTTATATATAATATAAATATCAATAATACAAATATAAATACAAATATCACTTTTTTGGTTTTTTATTTCTGAGTTTTGACAAATGCATAGTCATATAATGACCAATATAATCAAGATGCATAACTGTTCTATGACCCCCATAAATTATTTTGGTTCTGTCTCTTTGTAGTCAACCTCTCCCCTCACCCTCAAAAGCTGGCAACCACTGATGTTTTCCACCCATATAATTTTATTTTTTCATAATGTCATATAATGGAATCATACATTATACAATGTTGTAAGTTTGGCTTCTTTCACTTAACATAGTACATTTGAGAGCCACCCATGTTATTTCATGTATCAGTGGTTTGTTCATTTATATTGCTAAGCAGTAGTACATTGTATGAAGGTACTGCAATTTATTCATCTATTCATAGGTTAAAGTACAATCATGTTATATCTGGTTATTAGAGTTTAAGAATAACGCTGCTATAAATATTTACATGCACATGTTTGTGCAAATATTTTCCATTAGTCTTTGGTTAATCTTTTCTGCCTCTTAGTAGTATCTTTAATAGAACAATTTAAGAAGAAATACGAAGTCCAATTTATTATTTTTCTTCTATGAATTGTGCTTTTTGTGTTGTATCTAGGCACCCTTTGCTTAATCAAATGACGCAAAGGTATTTTTACATGTTTTCTTCTATAGTTTTATGTTTTATATGTTTCTATAAGTATTGCATTTTACTTCTAAGTTTATGACATATTTTGAAGTTTTTGTATGTAGTATGAGTTATGGGTTCCAGTTCATTGTTTTGAACGTGAATAGACGTTTTACCACCACTTCTTTAAAAATATTTATTCTTTCTCTTTTAAGTTGCCTCCACACCCTTGTTAAAAATAAACCAAACACAAGCATGGCTATTTCTGAATGTTCTATTCTGTTTCATTGACCTTTATAACTATTCTTCTGATGCTATTATAAATGAGACTTCTAAATTTGTTTTTCTGATTTTATTACTGTCATGTAGAAATACAGTAGATTTCATTTTTAATTGACTTTGAATTCTATAATCTTGCTTAACTCAGTTATCAATTCTAGAAATTTGTATGGTTCCCTTGGAATTTTTAGCATAGACAGCTATGATATTTAAAAAAACAGAAAGTGTTAAAATTATTGAATGGCTAGAATTTCTAATACAATGTTTAAAAATGAAAATGGGCACTCCTATTGGTTACAATCTTAAGATAAATAATTGTCTTTCACATTAAGCATGATGTTAGCTATAAGTTTTTCTACGTACTTTTCATCATGTTAAGAAAGCTCTCCTCCAGTCCTAGTTTACTGATAAATGTGTGTGCGTTTCTGTGTGTGTGTGTGTGTGTGTGTGTGTGTGTGTGTGTGTATGTATGGTAATGTATGGTATGTGTGTTTGTAGTTATACATATATAATTAGGAATGGATAGTGCATTTTTCAAAAGCTTTTTATTTACTAATTGGGATGACTGTGTGCTTTTTTCTTCTTTAGTTTGTCGATATGGTTGTGGAAGGCAGAAAAGTGGTCCCTTAAAGATCCTCATGTTTCTATCTCTAGAACCTGTGAGAAAGTTAGGTTACACGGCAATGGAGCATTAAGGCTGCAGATGGAATTGAAATAGTTAATCAGGTAACCTTCAGGTAGGAAGACTATTCTGATATGTGGATGGGCCTGATGCAAAGGAGGGGCCGTAGAAGTGAAAAGGCAGGTAGCAGGACAGAGCTAGAGGGAGATGTGACCACAGAGGGAAAGTCAGTGATGTGAGGAGAGGCTCAACCTGCCATTACCTGCTTTGAAGATGTAGGAAGTGGCCAGGAGCAAAGGATTATGTGACCTCTAGAAGCAGAAAAAGAAAAGAAAATGGCTTTTCCTCTAGACCCTCCAGAAAGAAATGCAGCCTTTCTGACATCTTGATTTTAACCCAGTAAGACCCATGCCAGAATTCTAACCTAAAGACCTGCAAGATCGCAAATTTGTTTTGTTGTAAGCCACTGTGTTTGTGGGATTTTGCTATAATAGTAATTTAAATACAATGATTAATTACAGAGTTTGATTTTCAATGGTTTAACTATATTTGCATTCCAACCATGGTGTATTTTGTTATTTTTATATATGGAGAGGGATTCAATTCACTAAGTTTCTGCTTATGTTCATAAGTTTCTGCCTATGTTCATAATGGATATTAGTTCATAATTTTGTTTTCTTGTAAAATCTTCATCTAGTTTCCTTATCTGAATAATTCTTGCCTTATAAAAATATAGCAAATTATTCTCTCCTCTTTAATTTTCAAGAAGAGATTGTGTGGAATTCATATTATTTTTTAATTAAATGTTTGGTGGAAGCCATATAGGCCTGGAGTTTTAATTGAACATTTATTTTCTTTAGGAGATATAGGACTTTTTAGGTTATTTATTTCTTTTGGGGGGAATTTTGGTAGTTTATGTCTTTCAAAGAGTTGTTCCACTTTACCTAAATTGATTTACAAAGTATAATTACTTGTAGCTTATGTAATTATTCTAACATCTGTGGTATCTGTAGTCATATCACCTATTTCATTCCTGATGTTGGTAATTTGTGTCTTCTCTCTTTTTTTACTGGTGAGTCTTGCTTGAAGTGTACAAGTTTTTCCTCTTTGTAAAGAGCTAGCTTTTGATATTAATTATTTTTCTATTTATTGCTTTCAATTTCACTGGTTTTTAATCTTTTTTTACTTTCTTCTGTTTTCTTTGAATTCAATTTACTATATTTTCTGGCTTATTAAAGAAGAAGCATCTATTTTTATTTTGAGGACTTTTTTGTATGAATATAAACCTTTTAATGATATAAGTCTTCCTTTAAGCACTTCTTTAGATGAATCCCACAAATTTAATATGGTATGTTTTTATTTTCAATCAGTTTAAATATTTCCTAATTTACCTTCATGCTTTTTCTTTTTCTCTAGTTTTATGTTGAAGTATATTGTTTATTTTCCAGAAATTTGAGGATCTTCTAAATGTCTCTCTGTTATTAATATCAAGTTTAATTCCCTTATGTCAGATAACATATTTGTATTACTTCAATACTTATAAATTTATTATGGTTTGTTTTATACCTGAAACATAGTATAACTCGGCAAATGTTTCACGTGCACTTGAAAAAAAATGTACATTCTACTGTTGCTTGGTGGACAGTGAATAAAATCCAATTATTTTAATTTGGTTGAAACTTGACCAAGTCTTCTACATCCCTGTTAATTTTATGTGTGCCTTAAGGAAAACATAAGTAATCTTAGAAACTTGAAGGATCAGTACTTAATAATAATAGACTCAACTAGCTATTTTCTTTTTATTTGCAGACAGTCCTATATATCAGAAATTTGGGTATAGTGTGCCTGGGTTGTTATAGTATCCAAAAGGTTTGTGCATGTAAAACTAGTCACAAAGTAAATAAACAAAAAATAGACAGAATTAATGGAGGAAAGTATGACAAATCCTCAATAGAATAACATATGAAATATACTTTTCATTATTATGTTGTCAGGTGGACAAAATATTTATATAGCTATAGAAGATTTGGGTAGCATAATTAATAATTCTTAATCAGGTCGATAGTTAGAATTATAATGTCCCCCAAGATTCCTGCACACCAATGTACATACACCGTACAAACCCTTGGGCTTTAGATACGAAGGGATTCTGTTCATCAGATTAGGTTATGTTATGTAGGGTACAACTGTTTTTAAGAAAGGGAAGTGAGCCTGAAATAACTATGTGATTCTTTAAGTCAAGGTATATGGTCAGAAACAGAAGTCAGAAATTCAAAGTGAGGGGAATTCAACACAATAGTAGCCAAGCACAGTGGCTCACACCTGTTATCCCAGCATTTTAGGTAGCAGAGGCAGAAAGATCCCTTGAGCCAGGAGCTCAAGACCAACCTAGGCAACTAGGAAGACTCCGTTTCTACAAACAAACAAAAAATAGCCAGATGTAGTAGTCTGTGCCTATAATCCCAGCTACTCAGGAGGTTGGGGCAGGAGGATCACTTGAGTCTGGAAGTTTGAGGCTGCAGTGAGCCATGATCTGATCACGCCACTTCATTCTAGCCTGGGTGACAGAGTGAGATCCTGTCTGAAAAATAATAATTTTTAAAAAGCGATAGAAATTATTTGTTTCTATCTTTAAATATGAAGTGAGACACATGTTAAGAAATGTGTGTTGCCTCTAGAGACAGAAAGTGGCCTTTGGCCGACAGCCAGCAACAGGGACCTCAGTCCTAAAATTATAAGAAGTTACATTTGGCCAATAACCTGAGAGGGTTTGGAAGTGCTCTGTTCCTCAGAAGCAATCACAGCCCAGTGGGAATCATCATTTCAGCCTTGTGAAACCTTGAGCACAGAAGCCAGTCACACCATGCTCAGACTTCGGAGCCACTGTAAGTCACTATGTTTGTGGCCATGTGTCATGTAGCAATTAAAAACCAATAAAAATGGATAGGAATATATTTACCAAAAGTCATACAAGGCCCTTATAGGGAAAATTAATAAAACTCAATGTTATGAAGATAAGAATTTTCACCAAAACTATAGGTAGGTTCAATGATATTCACATCAAAATATGAACACACATTTTGGACTTGAAAACACTATTTTCACATTTATATGGAAAGTCAAGATATGAAGACTAGCCAAATCAATTTCAGAGTACAAAGAGACAGCTTGTTTTCATTCTGTTGGTAAGAGCATAAATTGGTAAAGCATTTCTAGCAACTCTAAATCTAGGAATTTAACATAACAAAAAATCTAAATGTGCAAATCTTCTCCCCATCACACATACCAATTCATAAGAAGTATTTCTTAAAGATTTTAAGACAATTACATACATTCATACACGTATACATAAAATGCCCTTTCCAAGTAGACTTATTAAGGACATTACATAGTGTTCTCATAAAAAGAAATGTCACCAGTCACCAGCCATTATTTCCCTGGAATAATACCCACTGTATATTTTAAGTGAAATAATGGAGTAAAAATGTTAGGTACACTAGAATACAAAAGTTGATCTTTTTTCTTTTTTTTTTTTCTAATGAGATAAGAAAAAATTATCTACTGATATCAGTCTTGGACAAAAGCTTCATGTATGCTTCAGAGAAAATGATTTAGTGGCATCAAAGCATACTCATGTATTGCATGTTTGTCTTCTACAGAAAACAGATATTATTAAATCATAGGCACTTAGTTCATCAAGATGGGTTTAGGCATGTAAATTACAGAGTATCAGCTAAGGAAGAACCAAATTGTTTTGCGTAATAAAATGGCAAGTTACTGAGAAATATGTCAGAAGAAGCTGGATGTTGATGAAGAAAGGGCATAGAAAAAATGTAGGGAGCTATATGATTGATGCTATATTGTACTTGAGGGAGAAAATAAATTTTAATGGAGATTTTTATTTTTTTTTTTACTGTGGGATGTGCAATATAAACAATCTCATTCATATCCCTTGTGAAGTCTGCAATAATTTCTGTGTAGCTCACCCCTAATACTTTTGTTGTGAAGAGTTTATGTTGCAAGAGCATGAAATGAAAGAATATGCTGAATTATGTATGTATCCAGGACAGACAGAGGCTGCCTACAGGGAATCTAAAGCTAGAGGAAAACGAGACAACTGATGTGTTGATTACCTGTGTGAAGTAATAAAGAGAAGCATGCAGCACAACTGTCCATGAAACACACAAAAATGTTAAGGGTGGTTGGGCTTGCAAATAATTTTGTCTTCTTCTTTTTATCTGTTTTTTTTTTTTTAACAAACATGCATTTATGGCTAGAAAATATGTTATTTTCATTTAAAAATCCTGTGCTAATTTGGGGGACTATTTTCTACTAACTGAGACTTTAATCTGTGCCAATTGAGCATGGATAACATGCCATGCCTTACGTGTTTCTTGACTTAACATTTTATTTTACTCGATGACTCCCATCAGCCTGGCCAAGGGTGATGGGGAGTAATTTCCTCCCAACCGTGCTGGAGCAAAGGCTCCTCTCCCCAGTACTCTGTCTTTCCTTTACCTTTCACAGGTGCAAGCCTACCTCGCAATGTGAGACTTGCCACCTTCCCCTGCTTTCTCCCGTTTATCCTTCAGAGAGCTGCACCCGAGAAATCTCTGGCCTATCTACCCCCACCATGGCATCTCCATCTTTGCAGTCCCAAATGACCCCTGGGTGACATGAGACATCTTCTGTAAGCCTGACCCTTCCACACACACTTTGATGTGTCACCTGCAGTGCCTTTAAGTAATAACACATCATTCAGTAATTCAATCCCAGCTGACACTCAAGCCAGAAAACACTGTGCCAAGCACTCAAGTGAGGTGCAGCTTGTACACAACTGCATAAAGCCAAGAATTCAGAGGATTTGCCTCTCGGCTTTTGATTGTGGCTCTGTTTGTTTCTCTGTCCACGCATGATGGTCCTCATCAGCAGCCTCCTGCTCTCCTGTACCCACTATCACTTCCCCTGGGATGAGCGTGCCTATAAATTTGAGATGCCTATAAATTTGAGATGCCTTATAGAGTTTCCCATTAAAATTTTAAGAGAGCATGTGACATATATGACAATCTTTAATTTGTTGACTACCTGTCCAATATTTTCTTAAAATGGAAAAGCAAAATTGGTTTTATTTACATAATCCCAGCAATGAATGTCAAACCTAGGAAATGCTGGGAGAAATAGGAAAAATATTAATACTAGTCATTGTTGGGTGGTAAGTTTATTTATACTTAAAAAAATTATTGCATACAATTGTATGTATTTTGTAATTGGCATATATATCAATCAGAGACAAGTCAGGACACAGAGAACACACATGTATACAGAACAATTATAAGGAATTGTTAATCTGATATTCCGAAATGGAATGGCACAAGAAAACACTGAAGTATTATGCAATAACAATTGTATGAAGCAACTACCACCCCTAGGGCTTAAGGGACCATAGGAAAGAGACTGTAATGATTAATACATAGATGCTTGGGGAGGGGCCCTGTGGAGTGGAGAGCAGAGCTAGGAGGTGGACTTGCTGCACACGTAGTGTAAGTACTTCTGGAGCTCAGAAGGACCCACAGAACTGCCACTGGAATCCCGGGCATAGTCATTGCTGATGTATCTCAGGTGTGCAGAAATGGGAAGGAACACTCCCATGCCACTCCCCCTCCATCCAGTCTCCCTATGGAGCTCCCTATTAGCAGAACCAAGGATGGAGCTAGATGCCCAAAGGGTAGAGAAGCACGGGTGGGAAGCCTAGGACCACAGCAGAATACTCAGCAAAGCATGTATAACTTCAACTGGAAAACACCATACACACTTGCTTAAAGGCAACAGACCATCTCATTATTGGATGGGAGCCTGATCACAGTAAGAGATCTTTGGCAGATGTTCCAAGGTTGACTGGCCACTAACTAGCTAATTGGAATAAGCAAAATGTGATATATCTTCACACAATGCCTGCTTCATAAAACAAACAAACAAACAAACAAACAAACAAACTTGGTAAATCTTTGAAGCATAGGAAATCCTAGGAAGTAACCATGAAATATAAATGTTGAGGACTTGGCTTCTAGAAGTTGAAAAAGAGAGAGCAGAATTTGGTAATGGCTTTTCACATGTTTAGGGCTTGGTGGTTTTCTATTTAAAACAGTGAGTGAATGATTTAACCCATGTACAAATGAGTGAATATGCAAGTGCACTTTGTCACTGGATTTGGGCAGTTGTGTCTGTCAGAATCAATGCAGAAAATAGAATCACCTCACATTATTCAAATAAACAGACTTTAATGAAGAGGCCATGCAGGGCTATGGGCACAAATACGGGAGCAATCATGGGCTTCTGAGCACCTAGACACTAGCTCCGGCAGGAAGCCACTGCCATCTCTAGGGATCAGGATCAAAGGCAGGACATCACATTACCTGGAGCCAAAGAAGAGGTGCTTGCTGGTGAGCACTATCATTGTGTAAGAACACCGATGTTGCCAGAGATGCAGGGCTAAGCCGAGAAGGAGAAGAAAAAACATACCAAACTCTCCTCCAACCCTGCAGCTTCTCTCATTGGCTGAACCTGTCAGTGCTCATTAAAGAAGCCTGGATAATGCAGTTCAATGTAGCAGCCTTTTTGCGTAGAGATCAAGGGAAGCAGGAATGGGAAATTAACTTAGGACGAGAATAATCAGCACAACAGCCCTAATAAGCTTTCCAGCAAGTCAATGTTGTAGGAGAACTTGTAATAAATAGATTTATTTACACAGGTTGTAACTAGCATATGGGATAGGAACAGGTTTGGACAACTGAGAGTTTTTACGCTCTCCTGACAATAGCTGGCATCTGTCAGGATTTCTAAAAGGTGTATTTTTTTTGAAAAAGAAGAATATCTTATTATATTATCCATTATAAAACTATTTATTCATTTTTGTTCAGTTGCAAAGTGCCTATCATGAATTCTACACACTGCCTGTGAAAACAAACGTCTACTTCCCACATTGGAGGAGGGTGGGGGGGGTCCCTAAAATAGAATATTTGTTGAAGCTGCTGAAAGTAAGGTGTTTACTTGCAAACAACAATCAGGATGAATTGTGTCAAACACAAGCAAAGAAATAGAAACAAAAGGCTAATACAAATATTTTCCTTGAAACTTGTACAGAATATTATTTCTAAAATACTGTCTGGGAGCCACATTATTGTTAGATTGCCTCAGATTGAGAAGGTCTTTTTAAGATAAATACCTTAAATACATTTTTTAAAATATAAAGATATAATTTTAAAAATTTCATTTAGCAGTTGCAATTATGATAGTCATTACCATTTATCAAATATTTCCAAATCTTTGCCTTCCGGACACAGGTCAGAACAACAATTTCCTTGTGCTGTACTTCAGTCGTGAGATGTCAATAGAAGAAACAGGTGTATTATTCAGTTTGGCCCCTTCTCTCTTTCCCTCTTTCCCTATGCCACAGCTAGGAACAATTCTCCGAAGACTTGCTACTCTGTTGGCTTAGGACCTTATTAGACAATGCAGAACAGAGCGCCCCGTGAATCAAAGTAGACATGTTGTTTTAAGCCGCTACGATTTAAATTTGCTTTAAGGCAGTATAACTCACCCTGTGCTGTCTGATACAGCAAGTGTTCAAAACAAAAACAATCTATACTTGGAAATCCTGAAATCACTTAAGGATGTAGCTGGCAACAATAATATACCTGAGGCCAAACTCTTCAAGATAATGGCTTCATGATTTGAGAAAACTGCGTCTACCTCCAACGCCTCCCTTTGCTATACAACGTTTTACAGAACAAAAGCAGAGGCATGAAAGAGTGTTGGTCAGTAATGGAAGTTATTTGTGTCTGCTGTGCTCTGTTGGTCCATAGAGTGCCAGGAGCATACTACATCCTGTACTGAACGGAAGATGCAGCTTGGTGTGTGAACAGGCAAGGAACAAGCTCCACTTTTTAGGCTGGGTCCGATGTTAGATATGGCAAATGTTAAAAGTGAGGGGGCAAAGGGCTGGGTGCAGTGGCTCACGCCTGTAATCCTAGCACTTTGGGAGGACGAGGCAGGCGGATCACGAGGTCAGGAGATCGAGACCATCCTAGGTAACATGGTGAAACCCCGTCTCTACTAAAAATACAAAAAAATTAGCTGGGAGTAGTAACAGGCACCTGTAGTCCCAGCTACTCGGGAGGCTGAGGCAAGAGAATGGTGTGAACCTGGGAGGCAGAGCTTGCAGTGAGCCGAGAACGCGCCACTGCACTCCAGCCTGAGTGACAGAGCGAGACTCTGTCTCAAAAAAAAAAAAAAAAAAAAAAAAGTGAGGGGGCAGAAGGAAGTTTTTGACTTTTTGTGGTGTAAAGACTATTAGAAACACTTAATGTTAGCTCGAAGACATCCAACTTTCCCTAAACTAGTTAAGCAATCTAAAGTTCTTTGATGAGAAAGTGGAAGACAAAAATAATAAGTGACACTTTCCTCTGAATTAGGAAAAGTAATAGATAAAAATTATTTTCATTCTATTTCTCCCCTGCTTTGTGAATAGGACTCCCCAGTTCTACCTGGATACATAGCTACCTAGTGAGAGACTAGCATCTAATCTGAGAGTAGGTCTGGCCATTCGATGAAGTACCGGTCTGTGGGCTACAAATGGAACAATATATGCAATATTGAAGTTATGACCTAAAGGAAATGGATATGGCCTTCCGTGGTCTTTTTGCATTCCTGCCAGTTTAGATGAAAAATGAAAAAAAAAAAAAAAAAAGCAAAACAAAAGATTATGGCAGTTGAGTTGGAAGATCCAGTTAGGATCCCGAAGTGAAGCAAAATAAGATTCTGTGTTGTTTGTGTTAAGATAATTTGGCGTCTCATTTATTAAAAATAGCAGCTTAGATTATGCATTTATTAGACCAATTACTATGAATTCTGTAAGAAAACCAGTTCACACGTATTTTTTGTTGTGGCCACTACTGTGTGTTTTTTAAAATCTTTATTTCTTATTAAACTTCAGGTCCAGTGTGTTGAGTTAATCATTCACCTCAGTGAATGGTCTTTGTCGCTGATCTACCTGTTTTATTTAATAGCCTGCTCCTGCTGTCCACGTTATCTGGGGCTGTTGATTTAACTTCTCTCTGCCTCAATTTTTTCATTTGTAAAATGAAAGTAATAATAGTTTCTATCTCTTAGGGTTGTTCTGAGGATTAAAAAAGTCAATTTGTGCAAAACCCTATATTCAGCAAGTTTCTATCATTTTTATTAGTTATTATTATTTATTTCTTTGCATTCTCCTTCCCCAATCTTATTTTCTCTGTTCCCATAAGCAATCTTTTGAATATGTTCATGTGTATCCTTTTGCTTATGTCTGTTCTTACCAAGTGTGCATTAAGTATTTATGTGCATTAGTTTAAATGTATGTGAAATGGTATTATGCTACATACATAAGTAGTAAAGTTCTAAGATCCACTGAGGTTACTATGAATACTTCTGACCTATTTCTCTGAGCTGCCACATGAGATGCCCTGGTGTACACCTACCATATTTCAGGTACCTACTCTCCCAGTGACAGCTGCCAAGGCTGCCCATGGTTCTCCACCATCGCAAACAATAGTGTGATGAACAACCTTGAAAAAGTCCACTCTAAACCCATTTGAGAATTTAGTTTAATATATAATCATGAGTAGCACTGCATAAGAACAGGCTATGCTTATTTATAATTCGACCAAGTTTTCCAAGAATGTTCTTCAAAATGGATTGACTAATTTGTACTCCTCAGCAAATGATTATTCTTATTTCCCCTTACATGCTAAACACTTGGCATTATCCAGCTCTTAAATTGTTGCCGGTCCAATTTTGTTTTCACTTAAGAAGGAGAAAGCCACAAAACATCACTACCATGAAATCAATGAAAAAAAAAAAAGCCAGATTATCTGCAAAATCCTAGCATTTTAAAAATCTTTCAAAGAACTCTGGTTGCAAGACAATCGAAGGCATTGAATTCCAAATGTCAAGGCCTTCTCAGGAGAAACTGGAGACA
The DNA here is from genome assembly GCF_000001405.40 of Homo sapiens. NCBI lineage: Eukaryota > Metazoa > Chordata > Mammalia > Primates > Hominidae > Homo > Homo sapiens. Next base: position 4,352,816 of record NC_000002.12, read on the forward strand.
TCTCTTCCTCTTGCAAGAGCAAGGGAGAAATGAAGTATGACACTGTAGAAATACATAAGAAGAAATTAGCTACAGATTTAAGCCATGCCTAAAGGTCTAATATAAGCTAGCATACTAATTTAGAATAATTAGGAGCCCGATAAACAGAGTGAGGATGAGTTCTCACTCATGTTTAAGCTCTTCTCCACAGGTCTCTACTAGATGGTCACAAAGAAACTCAGGAACAGGACAAGAGAGAGCTTCCGTCAGCTATCTAGGAAGTAATCAGGCCTCCATCAGTCGGCTAGCTGTGATGGTTAATATTGAATGTCAACTTGATTGGATTGAAGGATGCAAGTATTGTTCCTGGATGTGTCTGTGAGGGTGTTGCCAAAGAAGATTAATATTTGAGTCAGTGAACTGGGAGACACTGACCCACCCAAAATCTGGGTGGGCCCATCTAATCGGCTGCCAGCATGGCTAGGATAAAGCAAGAGAAGTTGGAAGGATTTTACTTGCTGAGTCTTCCAGCCTTCATCTTTCTCCCATGCTGGATGCTTCCTGCCCTTGAACATCCGACTCTGAGTTCTTCAGCTTTTGGACTCTTGGACTTACACCAGTCATTTGTCCAGGGGCTTTCATGCCTTTGGCCACAGGCTGAAGGCTGCACTGTCAGCCTCCCTACTTTTGAGGTTTTAGGTCTCAGACTGGCTTCCTTGCTCCTCAGCTTGAAGATGGCCTATTGAGGGACTTCATCTTGTGATCATGAGTCAATTCTCCTAATAAACTCCCTTTCATATATATATATATATATATATATATATATATATATATATATATATATATCTCCTCTGAGTTCTGTCCCTTTAGAGAACTTGTCTAATACACTAGCTACACAGGAAGTGATTAATCACAACTGGGGTAGAGGCACAAAACACACTGTACTTTTGAAATTTTTGCCCAAACAAATAAACAAAAATATCCTTGAGCTCCCAAGGAAGGAACTGCAAATCTTCTGACCCCAAGGACCAGGGATCAGTGGAAGTTAAACTCATTTATCTCTGGGTGATGAGCAGGAAACTCTCCTCCGGTCCTCCGCATCCCGCATAGGACTAGCACCAAGACTCACACAACAGAAATCTGCGAGGGGAAGAACAAAAAAACAGAAAGAAACTTCTCCAGGAAGCAGGGCTATAGGAATACTGAAATCTGTGTAGGAACAGAAACAGAAAAACTCTCCAACACCCTAGCACTGCTAAAGAAATATAAAGTCTGTGGAAAACTGAAAATAACATTAGCAGTAACAAAACCCAAACCTAGTGAGATTGATCCAATGTCACATAACAGCTCACAGAAGAGTGTCTATATCTACGTCTAAAACTGCTTATTTAAGTTTTTACTGTTCTATATATGGTGTTAGACACTCAATAAAATACTGCAAGACACACAAGGTAAATGAATTAAAAATGGCTCCTTGTTAAGAGATAAAGCTATCAATAGACTCAGACTCAGGGATGACTCAGATGTTCAAACTATGAGGCAGGGACTATAAACTAACAATGATTAATGTAATAAATGATCCCATGGAGGAAATATCACAAGCATAAACAGCTGGGGAATTTTAATAGAGATGGAAACTATAGAAAAATTAAATGAAAATGCTTAAAAAAACAAGTAATTTGAACAAGATACATATTTAAAAATTCCACAGTGGGCTTATCAGCAGATTGGAAACAGCTGAAGAAAGAGAATATGAATCTAGCACTTTATGATTATCCAAAATGAAACACACACACAAAAAAAATAACATAAAATGAAACATTGAAGCCAAGAGCTGTGGGAAACTATCCATGGCAGTTATTAATTTATTGTCTCTCAGTTCCAACTCTACCCTGCCGCCCCTGCCCTGTGAGAATGGAGCCGGACCCTCCACTACATGGAGCAAACATCCACGTAGATGTTTGTCCTCTGCGGCTGGCACATAAACTCTGCCAGTAGAGGGCGGTAACAAGGCTGTCTCTTCCTGGATCAGATGTGTTTCCCTTACAGCCTCCTGGAGCACCTACAACTTCTCCACGGCTTTGCCCCTGAAGCCCAGTGCTTTTCCAGTACCCGGATCGCACTGCACGTGGCGGCCAGTGGGTTCCTCCAGTACCTCTTTGCTTTGCAGTAAGTTCCAAGGCACACTACCTCTGTCTATGAGTGGCTTCTCCAGGAAACCAAGATCAGAAAAATAAAACAGATTTTATATAATCAAAAGGGGAAAATGCCTTAAAGTTGCAAACAAGTTTATAATCACACAAAGAAAAAAAGTATTAAATAAATTTTGGCACAACGTCCAGATTGTATGTCCTATGGATTATTTTTTAAAAGAAGGAAAAAAATGTAACTTTGTGCACTGTTTCCCATTACTAGTAATATTGCTTTGAAATTTCAAAATTATTTTATATATATTATGAGATAAGGTAAATAAGTCAATACAATAATGGCTTTAGGAAGCAGGCTTTTTAATGTAAAAGAAAACACAGATGTATGGGGGAAACTCTAATGTTGAATCTGAGTTCGACAGAACGATATCACTTTATGAGATTTTGTTCGTTTGTTTCTTAAACTGAACTACTTAATGGACCTATGAGCAATGATTCCTCTGAAGTAATGAAAACAAATGCCCAGATCCTAGATTCTAAGTACCATTCCCCGTGAAAAGAAATTGGGGCTTCAGAGGAATGGCTAATCCTGGTTCTGGGTTTGGGAAACGTATGAACTACTTGGGGCCACCCTTTATATATCAGTGTGCTAGGGAGTCCTATATAAGGGGGTCATGTCAAAAAGGCTACAAAAAACATTTATAAGAGGATCCCATTAGCAAAGTTAGTGGGACAATTTGAACATCAAAAATAATAAGATTTTATTTGTGAAATAAAAAATCTAGGAACTAAAGAAAAAGCAAAACTAACAAAAACAAACAGATGGTACTTTTTTTCTTTACATCAGAATGGCAGCTAAAATACAGAAAAGGCATAACAGATTAGAGGTAACTGGTGTAGGCAAAAATTGCTATTAAAAACCTGTGTGAGGTTGTTTGGAAAGAATATTTTCATAGTGTCCAAATATTTATCCACAGGTTACTTAGTAACTGCAAAGAAAAAAAAAAATAAGATGGGACGTTTCTAGTGGAGAGATGATGATAAAACCGAGCATCACTTGTAGCGGGGTAATCCGACGCACATGCCTCTGGATGTGATGTCATAGGAGGCACACAACGCCATCTCTAAAAGATTCTTCCCCCAACATTTTTGGTTTGCATCTAATCAAACTTGTAGACCAGAAATAGACAAGGTTTTTATGGAAAGGGTTGGAGAGTACATTTTTTAGGCTTTGTGAACCATATGAACTATCACAACTATTTAAATCTGACATACTGTAAAAGCAGACAATATTTAAATAACTGGCTTACAGATGGTTTGGTTGCGTTGCAATAAATGTTAATTTACAAAACAAGTTGTAGACCGGATCTGGGCCATGGCCAGTAGTGTGTTGACCCTTGCTCTAAACTTAAATTCTAGTTCAAAGAGATTAAAGAAGATTTAAGAGCAAGTGAAAGGACATCATGAGGAATGACGCTAAGAGGAAACAGTCACAGAAATTTGGAGAATGAGACATCTACAAAATCACTGACCACAAAAATAATACAATGTAATTAAAATTAAACAAACAAGAAAACACAGGAAGGAGGCCTGTCCAATAATAAAAGAGATTAAAAATACATGGAGTTTAACTGGATTTCAGATAAAAGGAGGAGGAGGTGGAGGAAGAGAAAGAAAAGGAAAAAAAAAAAAATAAAACCCTGGAGGTAAAAAGACATTCTTTCAAAACTAAAGAAATGTACACATAGGTTGCCTATTTATGTTGCTATTGAAATTTGTTATTGTTGTGGTTAGCTTTGAAGTGACAGATGTTTATCTGTGTTTATTCTCAAGAGAAGCATGCCAAATTTTATGGAACTAGAGGGTCATGCTGTCTGCTACTTATGTTAAATTGTCCAAGGAGAATATATACATGAGAAAATATGTACACTTGACTAAATGTAAATCAGTTTTTTCATATACGTTTAGCCTAATATAGGGTATTCATTTTCTTTCTACTTTTCTACATTCTAAAATAAAATCTTGGGAAAAACACATGCAAGTCAAAAAACAAAGAAACAAACAAAACACAAAAATCTTTATTCTGTTATCACAGTCTTCTTTATCTTTTTTTTCCCCCCTTCTAGAAAGCCCAGTATGTCCTCAAACAATAGGATTTGGGCTGATCTCTCTGGTTTTGGTTTTCCAAGGCTCTTATGGAAGTGTTGCCATCCCGGTCCTCAGCAGACAGTTTACTCACTGATGAAAAATATTCAGAAGCTAACAGAAGTGAAAGAGATGAAAACCCACGTCCCCTTAACATGCCATACTAAAAGTGAAATGTGCGAATGTTTGTATTTGGAAGAGGGGGAGAAAAAAGGATTCAGCATCTCAGAAGCCAGTCGGAAGTGTCAGGCCTGGCAGACGCAGCTAGTGAGGAATTAAGCGCTTGCTTTTCTTAATCACCAAAATATGCTGCTGGAGATCTTTGAACCTCACCCTGAATCCCAGCTGCTTTATGAAAGCGCCCTAATTCTCTCATGACCCATTAAAGAAAGGGGCGGTGTCTTGGCTCCACTAAGTTTGCACAGAGAAGCAGAAGGAGAGATTTTTGTTTTATTTCTACTTTTTAACTTTTGCTTGACAATGCTAAACCAGTGTGGAATTCTAGAGATAGGCAGGCAGTATCTTTTAGTAGACAAGATAAATCTTACAGGAAAAATCATGCAGAAGGAGAAGAAAATTAATATAGATGAGTTGTCTGTCATGTGCAAGATGTTCTGGAAAGCACGTTTCCTTCTTGGCGTTCCATCAACACAGTGCCCTAGATGAGCGAGGATGCCCCTTGCTCTTTCCTGCTCCCCATGTGCCCCATCATTCTGCTTTCTTGTTCCTTTTATTCAGGAGCCCAAGTGCCAGGCTCCTAGAGAGCAGCTCCTGATAGACTGCTGAGGGAGTTTGCAAACAGTTTGGAGACAAATCTTCCATGGGGTTTGTCTTCCTAGTCACATTGATGTATTAACCAATGCTTGTCAAAACAGAAGAGACATGAAGGGTGCATTGGACAGTCAGTCAAGGAAACTGGAGTTCTGATCTTACTCCACATCTGTAAGCCTGAAAAATTGTTTCACCTTTCTGGTTTGCAGTTTCTCACGTTTAAATGGGGGACTTTTCATAGGAAAACATATGGGTAAATCCTGTTTCTAAAGTTGTGTGTCTTTTATGTCTACACACTGAAAACTCAAGAAGCAACATGACATGACATAAAGTATGAGGCTATAGAGGCTCACAGCCCTGGAATCCAAAACCAGTTCTGCTTCCAGTAGCACTCAACATTGAACTAGTTGCTCAAATTCTGAGAGCCACAATTACTTATTTGCAAAGTGGGGGTACTAATAAATTGTCAGGAATAAAAATGGTAGTGTATTTTGTAAAGCAGATATAGTAGCATTATGTCAATATTGGTTTCCTTTGTTACTTGCACTCCGATATCACCCTATTACATTTTGAATTGAAAAATTCAAAATTTGAACTGAAGGATGGTTACACACATATATATAACTTCATTTAAAAACATGTGTGTACATATATCTTCATTTAAATGTAACATATACATATATATTTAATATACATGTTCTAATTTTCTTATATATGTGTATATGTACTATATTTATCTCACCTATCATTTAATTTACAGTATATACATTTGCTCATATGTATTCTAATCTTCACAAGAGTGTAAATGAATGTGAAATTTATAATATGAATATCAGAACGTATACATGAAATAAATTGAAACAAATTTTATGGGCAGGGTAGTCTGGGGTTGACTAGAATCAAGCTCAGTTATTTCTGACTCTGAGTCCTTGCTGTGTCCCACCACACTACAATTACAAGTATGATTCTATTATAGTTCAACTTTATCATTTACCAAAATAGTAATTCTTGTCTTGTCTTCTGTAGAGATCTTTTGCCAAGGTATCCCCAAAGCATATATTGCACTGGAGAAACGAAGGAGTTAATATATGCCCCGTTCTTTGGAAAGACAACGCTGGGCTCCTGTTTGCACTCTGCGGCTGCCTGGTGTGTGACTCTCAGCTCATCATTCATCTCTGTGGTTCAATTTTTTTCTCCTATTTACGTTGATACAGAAATAATGGAGTCCTTTGTGCTACTGATGTGCACTCATCCATGCATGTCAGTTCAAGAGGGCACCTTTCTTTTCCAGAGTTTGCTTTAATTCTGCCACTTAGAATTTTTGAATGGGTGCCTCCTCTCACCTTTAATCCAGGTTGTTTTTTTAAAAAACAACAGCAACAACAAGCAACGTTTAACTGTTTAGATGGTGGGCGCAAAAAGACACGGCCATGCTTTTGTTTCTATGAAAATTAAAGCAAAGCAATATTAATTGCCAAATTTTAGCCATAAAAACAAAATACAAATATTACAATTTTATTTTTTTTCAAAATTAATCTTTAAATTAAAACATGTACCCAAGGCCCAATTTATTAACAATTTGCTGTATGGATACATTTTTTCATTAATAGCTCTATGTTCAGTGTAATGTTAAACTTATTAATACCATTTACGTTTTGGTTGGACATGAAAACAAGTCTTTGATATTTTATTTCCAGTGTGCTAAAGGCAATACAATTACTGAAAAATATTTTTATTCTCAGTAATGTGATTCAGGAGAATATGCTACATTAACAGGAACTATTGCTTCCTGTACTGTTTCCTATCTCCAGTTTCTCATGAAATTTCGAAGTCTGATAACTTGTCTCTGTGGGCATTATATTTAAATTATTTACATTATACAATAATGTTTAACTTATTTCAATCTATGTTATCTAATGAATTGATGAGATATTAGTAGAACATTTTTTATTTTGAGTTATTACCCGAACTTGACAATGGGTCATGAATATTCTTTTGCATTAAAAAAAAAATGACCAAGGAAAAATATTTGAGTTCCGGTTAGCTGAAGCCAAGAGTGAATTCTAAGGTCAAGGACCATGTTTTCCTTTTGGGCACAGTAAATTGACTAGTGTGGAATAAGAGCATGCTTCATCTCTAACTTTGTGGCCCATACTCATAGACCTGCCAAACAGAAACTTTCCAACTAGACAGAAATATCTCCAGCATTCATATGACAACAATTTTGAGACTGGCAACTTGATATAATGGCATAGATATGCATAATTTCTTAAAGAGTAGTTTTTTACAATGAGATTTAATGATGGACTTAAAAATTAATTTAGAAATATTTCCTGATGAAATATTCACTTGAGAGATTAAAAATGCATAAAAAGTGTTGAAAAGGTTAAGACAGTACAATCTCTTGTTTTCAATTTGGTTTGTTTCTACAATGAACTGGTATTTGACCTGAATTCTAATGTTGAATTTAAATTACTGAAGTTAATTTTCCATTCCATTTATTTTTTCTAAAAGTCAATATTGATAAACAAAGAGTTACATCAGGTAACGTGTGTATCAAAGTCTTGGCTATGTAGTGTGGTATCACTTTAAAGTCAAAATGTCTGTGTTTAAACCCAAACTCTACCTTTTACCAGCTATATGACCTTGAGCAAGGCTTTCAAACTCTCTATGTATAAGTGTCCATGAAGACAAACAAACAAACAAGAAAACATAATACTAGTAGAGTTTTAAATTCCTTATACAGTTTTGAGGATTAGATGAGTTAAAATATGTAGATTTTAGGACAGTATTGGACTAAGAGTTAGAGCTATATGTGAATAGCTATGGTCATTGTTACTATCATCACCAACGCCCCATACTCTTTCTCCTCTATGGGAATTATACTAAAAAATTTCAGGAATTATTGGGCCCTGTTCTAAATCATCTATAAAGTTGATCTGTGTTTGGTTTATATTTGCTGATAGAGTCATATTTGTACTTCTGTGAAAATTGTGGCTCCACAGGAAGTATAATGGAAATATTGTGAATCTTAACTAGAAAAAACAAAACAAATAGCATCCCTTAAGAAATGGGACCTTGGCTACTTCTCCATCCTCATCTTCACATAACTCTTTGCTGAATGACTTACACCTTGTTTGGCTACTTTATCCTAAAGATTCACCCTTCACATCTTCAACTCTTCTGCACAGGCCATTTCCAGCTCTGTCCACTGGTAAATATGTGCTTGGGGCAGAGCAACACTAGATAAGTAAATGAATGTGTGAGTTACATGGTAGAGTTCACTGTTAAACCCAGATGTTCTGACACAAAATAGGAGTTCTTTCCTATTTTGCTGTGCTGAAGACTCCATCTTTGATGCCTTGGTCTTACAGGACCTCTACATCCAGATAAATTCACCATGGCTAGGAAGAGCACCTTGAAGTAAAATGGAGAACCTGTGGAAAAGTCATTTTCTCTACCTCCTATGTTTCCTTTCACTCAGTATAAGCAATGGTCACTTCTCAGGACCTTATGGATGAGATTGCCTTCAGCAGTATCACAGTATCACAAGTAGTTCATGTGTCCATTCCCTCTCTCTCTGCATGTGTGTGTATAAAATCACCCATGTTGCACTGGCTGCTTTGTTGAGGAGCTGATGATGTAAGGATGAATATGACAAGGGACCTGCTCACTGTCTAAGTAGGGAGAAGGAAATACACAACCATTATACAATGTGAAAGTATAATGAGAAAAAGGAAACACAGTTGCTTTGGGGGCCTAGGGAAGATCACAAGACAAAGCTGAATCTCGACGGGGTATGCTAATACCCCCATTCACCCTCACCCCCTGTGTGGCCTCCTCTCTTTGGGATCACTGTTTCTGGAGACCACAAAGCATGCCCTAAGAATACTGCTTGTCACTCTTATATGACCACTGGATATACTGAAGTAGCTCACATGCGTGGTAGGTGCTCAGCAAGTTACTACCTGTTACATGGATGAAATCAATGCCACATGCACCGAAAAGTTGCCCAAGGCCAGTTTGTTGATTTGTTTATTTATTTTAAAATCACCATCACAACCACCTGTTGAAGTCAGCTTACCATTCTGTTTTCTACAGATTTGCCTGCGCCCAAAGGCTTGCCTATTTTCTTTGCTTTAAAAGGAAAATAATTAAATTACACTATTAATAATTTAGGTTGATCTCATATAGAAGCCTAGTTTCTTCAAAACTTGGAGATTGAAATAAAATGGAACTTCTGATAAAAATTAAAACTTGGGTAGTCCATCTCACAGAAATTGATTTAATGGACAGTGTACTGTTTTTCTGTCCATCAGGGATTGGAAGTAAATAAAGTACAAGAGATATAATACACAATATTGCGTGTGGTTTTAACTGAAAAATAAAATATTGTATGTATTTATAGTATACAACATAATGTTTTGAAATACATATGCTTTGTGAAATGGCTAAAATGAGCTAATTAACACATACATTAGTTACCTTACATACTTATCTTTTTTGTGTGTGGTGAGAACACTTAAAATCTACTTTCGTAGCAACTTTCAAAAGTACAATACATTAACTACAGTCATCATGTTGTATAAGCTATTTCTTGAACTTATTGCTCCTATCTAAATGAAATTTCACATCCTTTGACCAATATCTCTCCAAAACCTCCTCCCTCTCAGCCCCCGGCAACCACCATCTACTCTCTGCTTCTAAGAATTAATGATTTTAGATTCACATATAAGTATAATAAGATCATGCAATATTTGTCTTCCTGTGCCTGGCTTATTTCATGTAATTTAATGCCTCCAGGCTCATCCATATTGTTGCAAGTAACAGAATTTTCTTATTTTTTAAGGCTGAATGTTTCAGTATGTGTGTATATTACATTTTCTTTATCCAACCATGCATTGAGGAACACGGGTTGATTCCCTACCTTGGCTATTGTTAATAATATTGCAACAAACATATGAGTCCAGGTACCTCTTTAACATACTGATTCCATTTCCTTTGGATATATACCCAGTAATTTTATTTTTAATGTTTTAATGTTCATTCTATTTTCCATAATGGATATACTAAATTACCTTCCTACCAACAGTGTTCAAGTGTTCCCTTTTCTCCATATCTTTGCCAATACTTGTTAAATTTGACTTTCTGATAATAGCCTTTCTAACAGGTGTAACATAATATCTCCTTGTGGTTTTAATTTGATTTCCTTAATTATTAGTGATGTTCAACAGTTTTTTCATATACCTGTTGGTGATTTGCATGTCTTCTTTTGGTAAATGTCTATTCAGGTCCTTTGCTCATTTTTTAAGCAGGTCATTTGTTTTCTTGCTAGTGAGTCATTTACCTTCTGTGTAGATCTTAGGTATTAACTTCTTATCAGATGTATAGTTTGCAGATATTTTCTCCCATTCTGCAGGTTGTCTCTTACCTGTGATTGTTTTCTTGGCTAAGCAGAAGCTTTTTCATTTGATGTAATTCCATTTGTCTATTTTTGCTTTTATTACCTGTGGTTCTGGGGTCATATTCAAAAGAGTCATTGCCCAGACCAATGTCATGGAGCTTCTCCCTTGTTTCCTTCGAGTAGTTTTACAGTTTCATGTCTTATATTTAAATCTTTAAACCATTTTGAATTGATTTTTGTATGTAGTGTGAGATAAGGCTGTACCTGTATTCTGCATATGGATATCCAGTTATCTCAAAACCATTTATTGAATAGACTATCCTTTCCCCATTTTGTATTTCTGGCAATTTTGTCACAATTCAGTTGACCACAATTGTGTGGATTTATATATGAGTTTTCTATTCTGTCTCATTGGTCTATGTGTCTGTTTTAATGCTAGTATCATGCTGTTTTGATTACTGTAGATTTGTAGTATATTTTGAAGTCAAATAGAGTAATGTCTCCAGCATTGCTCTTTTTGCTCAAGGTGGCTTTGGCTACCTGAGGTCTTTTGTAGTTCCATGTGAATTTTAGAATCATTTTTTCTATTTTTGTGAAAAAACTGTCACTGGAATTTTGATAGCTTTCACATTGAATCTATAGGTCACTTGGGTTATGAGTATTTCAACAATATTAATTCTTCCAATACATGAACATGAGATCTCTTTTAATTTATTTGTGTCTTCTTCAAATTCTTTCATTAATGTTTTATAGTTTTCAGTGAACAGGAGTTTTACCTCCTTGGTTAAATGTATTCCTAAGGTTTTTAGTTTATTTTTTTTTTCCAGTAGCTAGTATAAATAGGATTATTTTCTTGATTTTGCTTTTGGGTACTGATAGAAACACTACTGATTTTTTATGTTGATTTTGTATCCTACAACTTTACTAAATTCATTTAATAGTTCTAACAGGTTTTTTTGTCTTCTGAGTTTTCTGTATATGAGATCATGTCACCCCCAAGCAATGACAATTTAACATCTTCTTTTTCAATTTGGATGACTGTTGTTTCTTCTTCTTGCCTAATTTCTCTATGTAAGACATTCATTATTATGTTGAATAGAAGTAGTGAGAGTGGCATCCTTGCATTGTTCCTAATCTCAGAGGAAAAGTTTTCAGCTTTTTACCATTGAGTGTGATGTCAACTTTGAATTTGTCATATATGTTTTTTACTTTGTTGATGTACATTCATTCTAAATCTAATTTGTTTTTTGACTTTTATCGTAGAAGGATGTTGAGTTTTGTCAAACGCTTTTTCTGCATCTTTTGAGACGATCGTAATGGTTACTGGTCCTATATTCTTTTAAAGTGATATATCAAATTTATAAATTTGTGTATGTTGAAACATCCTTGCATTCTAGTGATGAATCCCATTTGATGATAGTGAATAATAATTTCATGTGCTGTGGAATTTTGTTTGCTAGTATTTCATTGACAATTCATGCATCTATGTTTATCAGTAATATAGATTTATAATTATTTTTCTTGTAACATCTTTGGCTTTGGTATCAGGATAATGCTAACCTTGTAAAATGTGTATGTCCTCCCCTTCATTTTTTAAGAAGAGCTTGAGAAGAATTAATAATAGTTCTTTTAAAAATGTTTGGTAGGCCGGGTATGGTGGCTCACGCCTGTAATTCTAGCACTTTGGGAAGCTGAGGTGAGTGGATCACCTGAGGTCAAGAGTTCGGACCAGCCTGGCCAACATAGTGAAACCCCATCTCTAATAAAAATACAAAAAGTTAGCTGGGCGTGGTGGCACACACCTGTAATCCCAGCTATTCGGGAAGCTGGAGCAGGAGAATTGCTTGAACCTGGGGGGTGGAGGATGCTGTGAGCCGAGATCGCGCCACTGCACTCCAGCCTGGGCGAAAGAGCGAACTCCGTCTCAAAAAATAAAATAAATAAATAAATAAATAAATAAATAAATAAATAAATAAAAAAGTTTGGTAGAATTCATGAGTGAATTTATCAGGTTCTGAGCTTTTTTTTGCTGAGAGACCTGTTATTACTGATTCAATGTCCTTACTCTTTATTGGTCTGTTCAAATTTTCTGTTTCTTCACGATTAAGTCTTGGTAGGTTCAGTTTTTCTATAAATTGCCACATTTCTTCTAGGTTATCCAAATTTTTGGTATATCTTTGTTCGTAATAGTCTCTTACAATTCTTTATATTTCTATTTTATCAATTGTAATATCTCTTATTTCTGATTTTATTTATTTGAATAGTCTCTTTTTTCATAGTCTAGTTAAAGCTTTATCAATTTTGATTATCTTTTCAAAAAACCAGTGCTTAGTTCTGTTTACCACTTCTATTGTTTTTCTAGTCTCTATATCATTTATTACTGCTTTAATCTTATTTTTTCTTCCCTTATACTAAATTTGGGCTATTCTGGTTTTTGTTTGTATGTTTGTTTTTGCTAGTTCCTTGTAATGTTAGATCTTGACACACACACACACACACGCACACACACGTATTGCTATAAACCTTCCTCTTAGAACTGTTTTTGCTGCATTCCATCAGTTTGGTATGTTGTGTGGATATTTCATTTGTCTCAAGATATTTCTTCATTTCCTTTTTAATTTTTTATTTGACTTGTTGCTTGTTTAGAAGCATGTTGTTTTTCATGTGTCTGTGAATTTTCCAAAATTCTGCTCATTATCGATTTCTAGTTTCAAATATTGTGATAGGAAAAAACACTTGCTATGACTTCAATCTTTTCTAAATTAGTGAAAACGTGTTTAGTGGTTTAACATATGATTTATCTTAGAGAATGCCCTGTGTTCACTTGAAAATAATGTGTATTTTGCTGCTGTTGGATAGAATGTTCTGTAAGGTCTGTAAGATCCATTTGGACCAAAGTGTAGCTTAGGTCTGATGTTTTCTTTTTGACTTTCTGTTTGTTGCTGAAACTGGCATATTGAAATACTATGCTATTTGTGTATTACTACCTATCTTTTCCTTCAGATCTATTCATATTTGCTTTATATATTTAAGTGCTGTGGTGTTGGGTACATATATATTTAAAATTATATCTTCTTAATGAGTTGATACCCTTATAATTATATAATAACCTTATCTCTTTTTATAATTTTTTACTTAAAGTCTAAAATTATTGCTCCTTTTGGCTTCCATTTGTGCAGAATATCCTTTCATCCCTTTATTTGCAGTCCTAGGTCATGTTTTTTGTATCCCTTAGCCACTTTATGTCTTTTAATTTAAGAATTTAATCCATTTACATTTAAGGTAATTATTGCTATGTAAGGAGTTAATAGGACCATTTTATTAACAGTTTTCTCGTTGTTTTGTAGATCCTTTCTTTTCATTTGTTCTGGTTGTCTTTCTTTGGGGTTAGATGATTTTCTCTAGTAGTTTACTTTTTATCTTTTGTCTATCACTATAGGTTTTTGACTTGTAGTTACTAAGAAGCTTACATGAAACATGTTTCAGTTATAACGTGCTATTTCAAATTGATAACAATTTACCTTTCGTCATATATTAAAAAAATAAAACTAGGCCAGGTAAAATGACTCATACCTGTAATTTTAGCACTTTGGGAGGCAAGGCAGGAGGATTGCTTGAGGTCAGGGGTTCGAGACCAGGCTGAGCAACATACTGAGACCCTGTCACTACAAAATATTTAAAAATATATATTAGCTGGGCATGGTGGCATGCACCTGTGACCCTAGCTACTTGGGAGGCTAAGGCAGGAGGATCCCTTGAGGCCAGGGAGTTCAAGGATGCAGTGAGCTGTATTCATGCAACTACATTTCAACCTGGGTGACAGCAAGACCCTGTCTTTTAAAATATAAATAAATAAATAAATAAATAAATAAATAAAACCACATGTTTATTCCATCCACCACATTTTATGTTTGATATCATAAGTCACATCCTATTTTATTGTATATTTCTTAGTAATTTGTGGCAACTATTATTATTTTTATGTTGTTCTTTTAATCTTTATCATAAAGATATAGGTGATTTATACACCACCATCTCAGTATTATAATGTTCTGAATTTGACTGTATACTTGCCTTTACCAGTGAGTTTTATACTTCCATATGTTTTCATGTTACTAATCAGTGTTGTTTTCTTCCCTTTAGCATTTTTTATAAGGCAGGTCTTGTGGTGATGAACTCCTTCAGTTTCTGTTTGTCTGGAAAAGTCTTTACCTTTCCTTCATTTCTAAAGGACAGCTTTGCAGATGAAATATTCTCGGTTGGCAGTTTTTGTTTTTGTTTTTTGATTCAGCACTATGACTAGATTATTCTATTTTCTCCTGGCTTGTTAGATTTCTGCTGAGAAACCTACTACTAGCCTTATAGGATTTATAAGGCTATATGGGATTTCTTCTTTTTTAGTGCTGCTTTCTTTGTCTTTGATTTTGTACAGTTTTGTTATAATGTGTTTCATTGTAACCTTGTTTGAATTGAATCTGATTGGAGATATTTGACCTTTCTCTACCTGGATGTTTTATATCTTTCCTTATATTTGGAAAGTTTCTGTTATTTATTTATTTATTTGAATAAGTTTTCTATTTCTTATTTCTCTTATATATATTGAACTCTTAGAATTTTAAGACAAATGCCCTTTTGATGCCTTCTCACAAGCCCTGTAAGCTTTTTTTATGACTTTTTATCCTTTCTTTTTCCTCTCTGACTATATATTTCCAAATGAACTGTCTTCAAGTTCAGATTCTCTTTTTTGCTTGATTATTTCTGCTGTTTAGTCTCTCTACTATTGATTACATTTTTCATTTTGTTCATTACAATTTTTAGCTCCAGAATTTCTGAGGTTTTAAGATAATTCCAATCTCTCTGGTAAGTTTCTAATTTTGTTCACTTATTGTTTTTCTGATTTAATTGACTTGTTTTTCTGTATTTTACTAAAGTTTGCTGAGCTTCCTTTAAACAACTGAATTGTTTGTCATGCAGTTTATGTATCTCCATTTCTTTGGAGTCAGTTATTGATGATTTATTTTGTTTCTTTGGTTGTGTCATGTTTTCCTGATTGTTCTTGGCCCTTGTTGCTATGAATTGTTATCTGTGTGGGTTTTTTTGTTTGTTTGTTTTTTTTTTTTTTTGAGACAGAGTCTCCCTCTGTTGCCCAGGCTGGAGTGCAATGGCACAATCTTGGCTCACTGCAACCACTGCTTCCTGGTTCAAGTGATTCTCCTGCCTCAGCCTCCTAAGTAGCTTGGATTATAGGCACTCACCACCACGCCTGGCTACCTTTTGTATTTTTAGTAGAGATGGGGTTTCACCATGTTGGTCAGGCTGGTCTCGAACTCCTGACCTCATGATCCACCCGCCTCTGCCTCCCAAAGTGCTAGGATTACAGGCATGAGCCACCACGCCTGGCTGGTATCTGTGCATTATAAGAAGTGGGAACTTATTCCTTTTTTTTGCAGATTGGCTTTGTCTTCAAAGCCTTCTCCAGTCAGCCTGCCCAGAGGTTTTGGCAGGCTGTCTGGCATGGTCCAAGGGTGGATTGCTGCTAGAGTTCTCAGGCAGGCTATCTTGGTGTTGTAGACCAGCAGGGCTGGTTTATAGGTCCATGGGAATGCCCCTGGATCCTGGATCCCCAGGAATGGACTTATTGATTGGCTGCATGGAAGTGGACCTGGAGCCTAGATCCCAGTGAGCAGGCCCAGGGCATGTATCTGTGGGGACTGGCCTGCAGCCTGGGTCCCCAGGGGCTAACATCATGCTGAAGTGAGTCTTGATCCTGAATCTACAGTGGCTGGCCAGGCACTGGAATGGGGTTGGTGCCTGAGTCCACTGGGACACGTCTAGAGCCTAAGTCCACAACGGCTGGACCGACGCCTGAGTATGCAAAGGGAGTTCTGAAGCCTTTGCCTGTGGGGTCAGTCTAACACATGAATCTATTGGAGTGGCCCTGAACCCTAGGTCTGCTGGAGCAGACCTGGATCCACTGATGTTTTAGGCCCCAGGGCCTGGGTAGGAGCCTGGCCTGGCCTGATGCTGCAGTAGGCATGGAGCCTGGTGTTGTGGGCACTGGCCTTGTCCCTGGAGCCGCAGAAGCTAGCCTGCTATATGGACCTGTGGGACCAGTCTGGAGGCTGGATCCGCAGGTTGATGTGGAAGCTGGGTATACATGTATTGCTGTTGATGTTGTGGTTGTTATTCTTTGAAATAAAGTAGAATGAATGGCAGAGGTGCTTCAGCGCACAGGCTGCTGGATGATAATGATCCAAGATTGTGACCAAGATTAATATTTGTTCTAGAGATTATATGAAGGTGCATTGATATGTCCTAAAGAAGAATTTTATGGAAATTTAGAGGTGTGCCAGAGATATAGGGGACAATATTTTCACATTCCAAAAAAGAATGTGGAGGATGAAATTTAATGGTCCATCTGGTCTCATTGTGATGCATGTGCTATTGAACAGCCACCAGCTCATTAAACTCTGGTTGGCCATGCTTCTAGACTCCCCATTAAGAATGGCTTCCTAGCAAAAATTAATAACATGTGTTGACATTAACTTGCTGAAATTTTTTAAAAGTAAATTTTATTAGACATTCGTGTTTTATGTTCATGGGTGATAAGCTTCTGTTTAAAATAAAATAAAAATATAATTTTTTTGAAAAAATGAAGCCTTGGTTATTCCTGGAATATGTTTCTGGCGCTGTGAGTGCTGCAGTTACTAGTATTTTCCAGATGTCTGCTTTTAATTATTTTTAAGAGGTTGATCATTTCAACTGCTGACTTTGAGTTTCACAGAGAAGGACTTGATAACTGAAATAATTCTACTTGATTTACTACCTTTGGAGGCTATTTTCCCTCTTCTTAAAGTAAACAAAATTAAGCTCAGTGTTTGGATAGCTGCATAAAACTGAATCAGTGAATTCATGGGGTGTTTTCCAAAAGCATAGCTTTACTTGGAGCATTTTGAGGAAATTGGGATGAGGTAGAGCTGGGAGCTTTAGTGCTAGTTCTTGCCTTCATTTTATATGAATCTGGCAGAGGATTTCGGGGTCTATGGCTGTGAAGTTTATGGTGGGACTTGGTTTCTCTCCTTTCATATGTGATTTGAGATCTCAGTGGGAGAAGTACTTTTGAGCACAATGTGTTACTCTCCCTGATTGTACTTTCTCAGCTACTTGAAGATCCTCTTGAAGGAGGGAAAAACGAGAGAAAGTAATCTAGCTATATTCCTCACCATAGCAGCTAGTCCTGAATATAACACAGTGGACTTCAGGGAGAATTCAGGAAGAGGTTGCCCCCACCAACACTGGAAAGTTATCATCATGCTCTGTATGTCTCCCGAAAGTCAACTGTACACACAGCCTGCTCTCTCAGCTAAGCATTGTAATGATTCTTCATAAATCACTTAGGCAACCCTCTGGAATTGGCATTGTCACATTGCCTTTACAGGCCAGAAAATGAAGGCAAGAGATTAAATAATTTGTTGCAGGTCAGATGTCTGGCAAGTGTTGAGAGAGATCTTGAATCTACAATTGTCTGATTGCATTGTATGTCCTCTTAGGATTGGTAGATGACTTGCTTTCCCACAAAGATGGAGGTTATTCATACTGGGGCTTTTCCTGAGAGCAGACTTTCAGTTTGAATGAGCAAATGTGTCTTCAATGAGGTCATGCATAAGTGTAGAAGGTGTAGAGGAGCAGTGATTATGTGGGGAGGGAAGAAGAGACAACAAGAAAGGAGAGAAGGGAGATACCACAGTTATGATTTTTAAAAGGCGGTGTGCTGAGGGTGCCAATTTCATATTTTTGCTTTAATTTAATAAATTATAGTTTATTCAGGTGTTTCTTTGGTTGAGTCACTGCTCCTGTCTATAGACATGAAAATAAGACAGATTGTGACTTCAAGAAGATAAAGACATAGACAAAAAAACCACACAGACAAAGGCTCACAAAACCAGTAAGTGAAACACAAAAAGTTATGGAAGCACAGAAGGGAAATTGCTGGATTATAATAAGAAGAATTGAGGAGGATAGTATGGTTGAGGGGGTCCACAAATAGGAGCTTGAAAGATAGAGAATATTTCAGGACAAGGGAGTAGTTTCTTTATGAAGTCAACAATTCTTTCAGACATTTTTAGTCATAATATTATCCCAGAAAATAGGACATTATAAAATTCTATAGGAAAAGCAATTATATGGTTGTCTAGATGAATCTGGTATCATATAGGAAACTGGCAAATTTTTCTAATATATAGGTAATTGTTTGTGATGAACCATTTTATCAAAATGAAGAATCTTTGAAATAAGTTAACTGCCTTCGTTATGTAGAGACCTGGGGCTACCTTAAAATACAGAAGTCTAATAGGATGTGCCCAACTGATATAGTGCATTCTTTGAGGTGGAACTCATGTAGTCATTGTACTTATGAACAGAACTTGAACAGTATGCAACAAATATAATTATTTTTAGCTGACCAGTTTAATTTTATACTTTGAATTCCCATTCTATTGGGCAAATTAAATATCTGAGTGTGTATCTCCACTTGAACCAGAGTCTTAGACAGAGACATTAAACAAGTGGTTTCTCTCATCCTTAAGCATCAAGCTACACAGGTTAGATCTGAGATATTTCTGCCATCGTCCCCTTAGTGTTTCAGGTTCTGGCAGCTGTCTACTGCTAGTTTTACTTCGAGCCTGGGAATTTCTCTTTGGCTTCTGTGCCAGATTGGAACACTAGAAACTCTTGTGCTCACATCATTCTGCACTGAACATAAAATATTTTTCTGTCAGGGGTCTTGCTGCTTCCAAGATAGTATATATATGACAGCAATATTTAGATGTAGAGGAATCTGATATTTTCCTGTTTTTTTCAAGACAGACTTCATACATTTTTGCATCTCTGAAGTTTAAGATGTTGGTAAGCAAAAGCCAGGATTACTTGCATATAAATTTTATTATTTCCCATGATATCCACATGGGGGTGAAGAGAATGAAGCTGATATTCTCATTGAATGAAGAAAATGAAACAGAGAAACTACAAGAAGAACATAAACAAAAATTTACATTGCTAAATGTATATACTCGCCTTGTGGAATTCTTGCAAAACATTATATTTCCACTTATGAGTTCTTCTTACCATCGCTTCTGTTCTCCAAAGAAAGAGTGAGACATGAGACATCTGTGGCAGGAAGCCTCAAAGCTGGCCTTTAGAATCCTCACCTCCTGGCATTCAAGTCTGTTATGCTTTCCTCTTACATTACATAGTGATGATCTGTGCACCCAAGAACATACTGTGGAAATGGTGGCATGTGGCTCCTAGGAAGAGGTCACCAAAGGCATTTGATGCATCTTTCGCCTTGCTTCCTCTTGAGTCACTCCGATGTAGGCCAGCTGCCATCTCATGAAGGTTCTCAAGGTGCCTATGAAGTGGTCCAGCACACCCTGTCAGCCACCCGAGTGATTTGTCTTGAAAGTGGGTCTTCCAGCTAAGACTTCTAATGACTGTAGTTTGAGCCAACATCTTTATTACAATTTCTTGAAAGAATACAAGCCAGAACCACCATGCCTAGCCATTGCTGAATTGCTGAAATATAGAAATCTTGTAAAATAATAAATGTTTATTCTTGTCTTAAGTCACCAACTTTTGGGATAATTTGTTATACAGTTGTAGATAGCCAGTACCATAGCCAATAGTCCCTGGAAGTGGCTGCTAGAGTAATAGAAACCCAAAATGTAGGAGAAGGTTTATAACCAGGTGGTGAGTGGCCGCTGAGAGGATTTTGTTGAAGGTATTGGTGAAGCCTGGTGTAAATGCACCTTATAACAGTAACTTAAGCATACCCCGAAAATGACCCTGTATGGCAGATGCACCTGAATGTGTACTCCAAGCTAGGGAGTCTGGGAATGGCCAGCCTGGAGATTCATTCCTTGTCTATGGGGAACATCTGAGCCCCTGTCCCATCCCGTGGAACATGGGCCATACGGGAGATCAAGGTCTCTAGTTTTGGATTAAGTGAAGAGCTTTCCAGTTGGAGACTGTTAGGAGGAGGGTGCTAAGTGAAAATGGTTCCATGCTTTTAATTCATTACATGAGGACTTCTGTCCTATTCAAGATGACACAGCTTACCGTTAGCACACTAAACAGCACATAGTGAAACCACACACCATTAGGGAATTCTAGTTTCTGTTACTGTTAAGTGAGAAAAATAATAAGACCTTAATCACGGAAACGTAAAAACTTGAAGAATCATCTGAATGTTCTTGATGAACAGCCATGTATATGCAAATGCTTTATTATTTTTTTAAAAAGTTAAATTTTAGAATAATCTCATAAATAATTTTTGGTTTACTTATGTTTCCATTGCTTTGCTAGGTTCTGAATATATGTAAAGATTTGCAGAAAAAAATTTTAGCAGAGTTTAGATTTTTATTTGGAAAAAATAAACTGCCAAATGGCCAGCATTAGATCAGTCATGAGTTGTGATATAAACAAAAGTATAAGAATATAGTAAGGAAGAGATTACTATAGAAACAAGGAATTTAAACTTTCCTTTCCTCCATCTTTCCTTTCTTCCTTCCTTCTCTTCTTCCCTTATTCCATCCATTTATCCATCGATCTATTCATCCAACCCTTTATCCATCTAGTCATCTAAAATTTTTATGCATTTGTTCTAGGCAGAATTCTGCCCTTTGTACTGAAGACATAGATGTTAATAAGTGATTCCTGTCTCCGTGATCTGAAGCAAGTGAAGAGCAGAGAAAATATTTACAGGATAAGAAACAAAATGAATAAGTGTAATGGTTAGTTTTATGTGTCAAGTTGGCTGAGGCAAGGGGTCCAGTTGTTCGATCAAACACTAATCTAGAGGTTACCGTGAAGATATTTTGTATATGTAATTAACATTTACAATCAGTTGACTTTAAGTAAAGGAGCTTCTTTTTGACAATGTGAGTGAGCCTCAGACAGTCAATGAAGGCCTTAAGAATAGAAACACATTTCCTGGAGAATAAGAAACAATAAACCAGAGCTTCCAGCCTGCCAATGTTCTCTACAGATTTTATACCCAAGATGGAAACGTCAATCTTACCTGAGTTTGCAGCCTGCTAGCTTGCTCTGCAGATTTTTTGGACCTGCCAGCCCACACAATCATGTGATTTATCAATTCCTTAAAATCAAACATATAGATACAGATATAGATAAATATATGAATAAATTTATAAAATTGTAACAGGAGATGAAACATGTCTCTACCAGTATGATTCTGAAGATGAAGTGCAATTAAAGCAATGACTACTGTATTAGTCTGTTTTCACACTGCTATAAAGAAATATCTGAGACTGGATAATTTATAAAGGAAAGAGGTTTAATTGACTTACCATTGCACACGGCTGGAGAGGCCTCAGGAAACTTACAATCATGGTGGAAGCTGAGGAGTGAGCAAGAACTTTCTTCATATGATGGCAAGAGAGAAAAGTGTAAGCAAGGGAAGTGTCACACACTTAAAAAAACATCAGATTCATGAAAACTCACTCACTATCATAAGAACAGCCTGGGGAAAAGCACCCCCATAATACAACCACCTCCCCTCCAGACACGGGATTACAGGTCTCCCCCCTCAACTTGAGTGGATTAAAATTCAAGATGAAATTTGAATGGGGACACAGAGCCAAACCATATCATTCCACTCATGGGCCCTCCCAAACCTCATGTCTTTTATACGTTTCAAAACCAATCATGCCTTTCCAACAATCCCCCAAAATCTTAGCTCACTCCAACATAAACTCAAAAGTCCAAGTCCAAAGTCTCATCTGAAACAAGGCAAGTCCCTTCCACCTATGAGCCTGTAAAATCAAAAGCAAGTTAGTTCCTTCCAAGATAAAATGGGGGTGCAGGCATTGGATAAATGTTACCATTCTCAATTAAATACATTGGCCAAATCAAAGAGGCCACAGGCCTCATGAAACTCTGAAACCAGCAGGGCAATTATTAAATCTTAAAGTTCTGAAATGACCTTTGACTCCATGTCTTGACATCTGAAGCAGGCTGATGCAAGGGGTGGGCTCCCATGGCCTTGGGCAACTCTTTTACAGGCTGACATTGAGTGCCTGTGGCTTTTCCAGGTGCAGGGTGCAAGCTGTTGGTGGACCTACCATTCTGGGATCTGAAGGACGGTGGCCCTCTTCTCACAGTTCCACTAGGCAGTGCCCCAGTGGAGACTCTCTGTAGGGGCTCCCATGCCACATTTCCCCTCTGCATTGCCCTAATAGAGTTTTTCCATGAGGGCTTTGCCCCTGCAGTACACTTCTGTCTGGACATCCAGACATTTCCATACATCCTCTGAAATCTAGGCAGAGGCTCCCAAAGCTCATCTCTTGTCTTCTGTGCACCCACATGCCCAACACCACAAGGAAGCTGCCAAGGCTTGGGGCTTGCACCCTCTGAAGCCACAGCTTGAGATATACCTTGGTCCTTTTTAGCCATGACTGGAGCTGAAGTAGCTGCAACACAGGGCACCAAGTCCTGAGGCTGCACAGAGCATGAGGGCCTGGGGACAGCCACACAAAACCATGTTTCCCCCTGAGGCTTCCAGGCCTGTGATGAGAGGGGATGCTGCCAAGATCTCTGACATGCTCTGGAGACATTTTCCCCATTGTCTTGGCAAGTAACATTTGTCTCCTTGTTATTTATGCAAATTTCTGCAGCCAGCTTGAATTTCTTTCCAGAAAATGGGTTTTTCTTTTCTATTGCATCCTCAGGTTGCAAATTTTCCCACATTTTATTCTCTGCTTCCCTTTTAAACATAAGTTCCAATTTCAGATCAATTCCCTCAAGTTAAAGTTCTA
Organism: Homo sapiens; assembly: GCF_000001405.40. Taxonomy (NCBI): domain Eukaryota; kingdom Metazoa; phylum Chordata; class Mammalia; order Primates; family Hominidae; genus Homo; species Homo sapiens. The sequence goes on from NC_000002.12 coordinate 4,376,092, forward strand.
CAGATCTCTAGGGCAGGGGCAAAATACCACTAGTCTCTTTGCTAAAGAATAGCAAGAATTACCTTTACTCCAGTTGGTAAGAAGTTCTTCATCTCCATCTGACACCACCTCAGCTTGGACTTCATTTTCCATATCACTATCAGCATTTTGTTCAAAGCCATTCAACAAGTTTCTCAGAAGTTCCAAACTTTCCCAAATCTTCCTATCTTCTTCTCAGCCCTCCAAATTGTTTCAACCTCTGTCCATTACCCAGTTTCAAAGCTGCTTCCACATTTTCATGTATCTGTATAGCAGTGCCCCACTCTCTGTGATACCAATTTAAGTTGGTCCATTTTCACACTGCTATAAAGAAATACTTGAGACTGGGTAATTTATAAAGGAAAGAGGTTTAATTGACTCACAGTTCCACAAAACTGGGGAGGCCTCAGGAAACTTATAATCATGATGAAAGGTGAAGAGGAAACAAGGAACTTCCTCATATGGAAACAGATTAAACAATAGGATTTTTCATACTAAACAATACTAACAAGCACAGCAGAGCTGCTGCACCCAAGACTCTTCACACAGATCGTTTTCTCCCATTAATGCAAATTTTATAGAGGAGACAAACAGCGATTTACCTCTCTTTTCAACTGGATTTCACAGACAGGCTGAGAGCCTGACTGGGAAGGGATTCCTGCTCTTCTACTGGCTTGCCAGGTCCTAAGTTCCCTTCACTGTGGCTTCTGAAAGAGCAGAGTAGCTTTGGAATCCTGCTCACAGCAACAAAACCAAAACCGTAGGGGCTGAGGGAAGGCTTCCTCATTGTCATGGAGTGTGAGTGACAGGCTGAACAATACTCAGGACTGTCACTCAAGTGGGAGGGCTGAGACAAGAAGTTATTTTTGAGAAGTTCATACTCTTCTTTGTTCTAATTTCATGTGTAACTAGAGCAATTTGGATGGATCTCTCAGGTCAATTTTTATCTAGCCTTAATCTTTAAATTTCAAATTTGAAAAACCACCAGGGTACCTGACGGTGGTTGGTCAGAGCGTGAGCTGTGGAAATACCTGATGGTGGCCAGTCAGGGACCATTCCCTTAGAACCCAGGTTCCCCACAGCACTCACCTTATGAAGGTGTCCCTTCAGGTGTAACCAAAGTACACGTCCTCACAAAACTGAAGTGAGAGGATATCTGAGAAGCATGTGTGCCCCACAAAGAGCAAGTTGTTCACACAAATGGGTCCCCTGTGTAGCCACATGGGCAGGCTCCCTGAACAAAATAGTCTCTGAGACCTCATCCTCAAAACAGGAGACCCTGGGTCCCAGAGGGATTCTCCTATTCCTCCCCAGGGCAGCCAGGAAGGCAGCTGACCTCCATGTGCTGGGCTTGATCCTGCAGGAATGAACTGGGGGCCACTTGGGATCCCATTCTTGTTGCTGTAAGATCTTTGGGAAAAAGAAAGGGAGAGCTGTATTTTCCGTAATAAACTATCTGTAGACTGGGTAGACACAGCCTCTGGTGTAGAATGAAAGTGTGCTCTGTGGGTGGGGGTGGTGGTGTGGGGGGTTGGAGAGTGCACAATTATAAAGGTTAAACCACAGGGCAGGGGAGAGCAGGTGGGGGAGCGAGGAAGAGTCTGAATGATGACTTCTAAGCCCCAAATTGTCAGTCTCTCTTAATGGGCTGGTTCCAGGTAGCCAGTGGGTTGGCATCAGGTGGCCTGTGGGTGGTCAGGGGGGGAATTTCCAGCCATGGTCTAGCTCAGCACTGACAACAGGAGCTGGTTTGGCTTGATTGTAGAAAGGGAAGTCCTGTGACACTTTTACAAGATCTTCTTGAAAACACAGAGTAGGTGACTCTCCCTCATCCATCCATGGCCTTCTTGTTCTAACTCTGAGAACATTAGCCATGAGGAGTCCATTTTGTCTGTTGGTAGGGGCATACTTTAACAGGTATGAGGATGTACTGACAGATGATGACACTTTAAGAATGATTTGGGGCTGGGTGTGTTGGCTCATACCTGTAATCACAGCACTTTGGGAGGCCGAGGTGGGCAGATAACCTGAGGTCAGGAGTATGAGACCAGCCTGGCCAACATGGTGAAAACCTGCCTCTACTAAAAATACAGAAATTAGCCAGGCGTGTAATCCCAGCTAATTGGGAGGCTGAGGTATGAGAATCACTTGAATCCAGAAAGTGGAGGTTGCAGTAAGCCACGATGGTGCCACTGCACTCCACCCTGGGTGACAGAGTGAGGCTCTGTCAGGAAAAAAAAAAAAAAAGAATGATTTGGTACTATAATTCCATTGTTTATTAGTAGAGTTTTGAATTATGTGCAGATACTTTTCTTTTAGCAAATACTGGCAGAGACCAGGGAAGATTTTCAGCTTTGTGTATCACTTCCCAAGTATAAAGATACCTTTTTTCCTCCTAAAGCTTATTTTATTTTTTATTTTATTGCTATTTTTCAAATTTTGTTTTAGATTCAGTTGGTATATGTGCAAGTTTGTTACAAATGTATGTTATGTGATGCTGAAGTTAGGAGTATGAATAAATCAGTCACCTAGGTAGTGAGCCTAGTACCCAATAAATAGCTTCCCAACCCTTGCCCCCTTCTCTGCCTCCTCAATCTTGTATTCCCCAGCGTCTGTTGTTCCCATCTTTATGTCCATGTATACCTAATATTTAGCTCCTACTTATAAGTAAGAACATGTGGTATTTGGTTTTCCATTTCTGTATTACTTGTTAGTTTACTTAAGGTAACCACTTCCAGCTTCACCCATGTTGCTGCAAAGGACATTATTTCATTTCTTTTTTATGGTTGCATAGTATTCCATGGTATACTTGTACCACATTTTCTTTATCCAATCCACCATTGATGGACACCTGGGTTGATTCCATGTCTTTTTATTGTGAATAGCACTGCAATGAACAAATGAGTACATGTAACTTTTTGATAGAACAATTTAGTTTCCTTTGGGTATATACCCAGTAATGAGATTGCTGGGTCATATGGTAGTTCAACTCTTAGCTCTTTAAGAAATCTCCAAACTGCTCTCCACAGTAGCTGAACAAACTTACATTCTGACCAAATTTTATAAGTGTTCTCTTTTCCCTGCAGCCTCACCAACATTGTTATTTTTGACTTTTTAACAAAAGATATTCAGACTGGCATGAGAGGATATCTCATTGTGGTTTTGATTTGCATTAGTGATAATGTGCATTTTTTCATGTATTTGTTGGCCACTTACTTATATGTCTTCTTTTGAGAAGTACCTGTTTGGGTCCTTTGCTGCAAAGAACAAAACTGGATGCATTCACATTACCTGACATCAAACTGTATTACAAGGCTACAGTAACCAAAACAGAATGGCACTAGTACAAAACCAGACACATAGACCAGTGTAACAGAAGAGAGAACACAGAAATAAAGCTGCACACCCATAACAATCTGATTTTTGACAAAGTGGATAAAAATAAGTAATGGTGAAAACACTCCCTATTCAATAAATGGTGCTGGGATAACTGGCCATCTGTATGCAGAAGAATGAAACTGGACCCCTACCTATTACCATATACAAAAATTAAGATGAATTAAAGAATTAAATGTAAGACATCAAACTATAAAAATCTTAGAAGAAAACCTAGGAAATACCCTTCTTGATATTGGCCTTGGCAAAGAATTTATGGCTAAGTCCTCAAAAGCAATTGCAACAAAAGCAAAAATTGACAAGTGGGCCCTAATTAAATGAAAGAGCTTCTGCATAGCAAGAGAAAGTTTCAAGGGAGTAAACAGACAACTTACAGGATAGGAGAAGGTACTCACAAACTACACATCTGACAAAGGTCTAATGTTCAGAATCTGTAAGGAGCTTAAATACATCAGTAAGCTTATTTTATTTTTTAAGCATTTTAAAAATACTTTTAGAATTTTATTTTAGAAAGTACAAAAAAGTAAGAAGAAAAACATGGCAATAATATTATAATCCACTCTTTGCATCTCTACTAATAGCATTTGGTTGATATTTCCTTGCAACACTTTTTATAAATATTTATATAGATCCTCCAAATTATGCAATTTTTCACTTAGTATTATATTTCATCTCTTTATTAAATTAGGTACTCATTCATTCAATATATGCCACTGAATTTCTACTCTGTGCCTGGCTGGCACCAAAGCAGTTGCTGGGGAATTAATCAAAAACATGACAATAAGATTTTACCCATGCCTTCAGTTTTTTTTGAACATCATTTTTAATGCTTGCTTAAAAACCAGTTGTATATTTTTATGATAACTCCCTTAATTATTTCTCAGGCTTGGGGTATTAGTTGAGTTTTAAGTAGGTAGAGAGATTTAGACACTCAATAAACAAATGTTCTATATGTCCATATTAATATCTTTTTAAATTTTTTCTATCCTAACTGAAAGTGAAATTAGCATGGTATATGTAACAGGAGAGAACAGAGATATTTAAAAAAACATAAAATGGCTGTGTTTTTAAAATAAAAGCAGGTCCTTGAATTGGTCTCAGAATTTCTACGGCTGCCTGGCACTGCAAAGAAGAGGGGCACGTCCTTTGTAGCTTATCTATCTCGTTGACTATCTGCGTGTCTTTCCCAGTAATGTGTCCTTCAAGATCTCAGCTCCCTAGCTGAGATAATTTAACATCACTCCTGATATCCTTGGTGTGGCATGCTCTGATTTGTTAGCCATCCCATCCTTACTACTACATGGATCCACCTTAGGTGACCTTTCCAACCTGACTGCCGGTGAGAGCCATCTTCTGTGGTTATTAATTCAAGACCTCTCTAAAGTCAGGCAATCATTAAGAATAACAACAACAAAAACTATAAAAAAGCTTAGGCTGCTGGTAGGGTTGGCCTCCTTCCAGCTTGCTGAATGGCTGCCGCTCATATAATCGGTTTGCATTGTGGCAGTATAATCAGGTTGACAAAAGTGGACAAGATTTTTGGAGGCAATCAAGCACACTAATTCATTTTAAAATGCTGAACAGGTGCAACTGGGACACATTGAAGGTAGTTATTAGCCAAAAGTCGCTCAGAGAAAGGCGGGCCCAACATCTGTGCCTATTATTAGAGACACAATAGAGTCGACTTCACTTGTAAAAGTGAGCAGGGTCTTCCTCACGGATGGGGCAGCCAGCTGAATGAACCTTCTGATTTAGGACTTTCACTGCTTACAGTAATTAGCATTCGAAGGGGAGTGTGCTGAATCCATCTTTTCTTTTCCCTTTTTCCTGGGGGTGGGTAAAAGTGGAGTGTGATTTAATTAAGAAAGGCAGTAACTCCAGGCACCCACCTAATCAAATGTTAACTACAGCAGAACAAGGACATTCTAATGAGGTCTTTGTGATTTAAATCTGACTAAGTGTGGTTGCCTACTGCTGTAGGGTGTCTTTGGTTTCCAAGGACTCCTTTGTTCTTCAAAATTTTTATTATTTTCAATTATCCCCAGTATATAGACCAGCTTATCATCAGAGACATGTGATTGCCGGAGATCCATTGGAAGGATAAATAAACCTAACAGAGCTGCTCTAGGTTCTGATAAATACATGAAGAGAAAGGCAAGACTATGACATCTGTTAGTACAAAATAAATGATAAATATTTGGAAGGTTTCATTGATAGACACAGCTTATAAATACTCTGATTTTCTTTTTTCTAATTGAATATGTGTCTCAGAGATATTCTTTATAATATGGAGTTGCGTAACAGAAAAAAGAAAATACATGAATCGTGAAATAAGACAGTTCTAGACTCAAGTTCCAGTCTTAGTACTAAAAAGTGAGCCTCTCACTAAGTTTTCTCTCATTCCATGCCCATTCATATGGCTCTGTGTTAGCAGTAGGGAATGTGATGGAGAAGAGAAGCAAGGGTCCTCCAGTGGGAGGTGCTGATAGGCATGCCATAGAAGTAATCACTCTGCTAGATAGAGCTTCCAAAAGTGAGGAATGTCTTTTGATCTTTACATCTCCAAGATTCCAAAAAGTGTCAGGTACTTTCAAAGTGTGCAAAAACATTCACTAAATGAAAACACGAATAACAATAAGTATATAAAAAATAAGCAGCACAGATATCTTCTGTTCCAGAAAAGTTATTATTCCAACATCTTTAATTCTGTTAAAAAGATTCTGGGTTCAGCTGGGTGCGGTGGCTCATACCTGTAATCCCAGCACTTTGGGAGGCCGAGGCAGGCGGATCACCTGAGGTCAGGAGTTCGAGACCAGCCTGGCCAACATAGCAAAATCCTGTCTCTACTAAAAATACAAAAATTAGCTGAGCGTGCTGCCACATGCCTGTAATCCCAGCTACTCAGGAGGCTGAGGCAGGAGAATTGCTTGAACCCAGAAGGCGAAGGTTGCAGTGAGCTGAGATTACGCCACTGCACTCCAGCCTGGGCAAGAGAGCAAGACTCTGTCTCAAAAAAAAAAAGAAAAAAAGGATTCTGGGTTCTGGAATGGCATTTTAACCCTCCCATACAACACACCCACCACCCCCCCACACACATTTTAAATTCTAATAATTATATTTTTATTAAAATATATAAAGCTTTTAATTTTTATTGTGTAAATTTTTTTTCATTTATTCAAAATATTTAGTGGATATTATATTTTTGAGAGAACTAACTATATGCCATCAAAGACTATATAGAGCTAATGATTCAAGAATGAGCAAGAGAGACAGAGGTAGAACATGCACCACAGTGGAAGCTGTGTCTTTCCATCACCTGATGTTGAAAGTGATATCCTATCACCTCTACTTTATGCTACTACTACTGATGACACAGAACAGCCCTGGTACAGTGTTGTTGGGTTGGTGGGGGAATGGCACAAGGACATGAATACCAGGAATCACTGGGGACCATCTTAGAACTGGTGACCAAGCCATTTAAGTTACCTTCTTTCATTCCCCAAAGTATTCCAGTCAAACATAAAAACCTAAAGTTCTGATGTTAGTTGTATCTGGATTGATTACATAACATCTATGCATTTCCCACCTCTGGCAGATATGTGGCATAATGTGCACCAAGACGGTTGGGTAGAGATGAACAAAGCAGAACAAAATATAGCATTGTGAAAGTAAAATAAATCTTGGACCCCTGAAATCATGAAGCCAAAGGAAAAAGTCAATCCGGGAACTGTTGAGGGCAAATATGCCTTCCATTCTATTCCTTAAAAAGATAGCTACTAAGACAAAAAAGCTACATACCTCCCTCACAAGGAATCTCCTTGTGGACAAAGGACAGACAACTCAAAGTCATCCCTCTGCTCACTGAAATAAATGCATATCTGATTGCCTCTTTTGGAAAAGCTAATTAAAAACTCAAAAGAATGCAACTTTTTGCTTCCTAACCTACCTGTGACCTGGAAGTCCCCTCCTGCTTCGAGTTGTTCCACCTTTCTGTACGGAACCATTGTACATCTTTTGTACATCTTACATATATTGATTGAGGTCTAATGTCTCTCTAAAATGTATAAAACCAAGCTGTGTCCCAACCATCTTGGGCACATGTCGCCAAGACCTCTTGAGGCTGTGTCATGGGCACATGTTCTAACTTTGGCAAAATAAACTTAAATTGACTGAGATCTGTCTAAGATATTTGGGGTTCACAGCATCACAACTACCTCCAAGCAGAGCTCAGCACAATTTTCATTTTCAAATTTGAAATAGAGTAAAGATAACTTACAGGAGATGGGATGAAAATATGTTTGCATGCTCAAGCACCCAATAAAAAAAATCTGTGCATAAAAAAATACTTTTTTTAAAAAAAAGCTCTGAGCCTATAATTTATATTTAGAAATTTTAAAATTAAATTTAGTGTTTTTAGAATTATGTGTTCACAGGATTCAAAAATCAAAACTATATACAACTATACGAGGAGCCTCATTCCACAACCATTCTTAATTGATTTCTTCTCTCTCACTATTCCAACATTTCAATTAATATTTTATATGTAATAGTGTTTCATAATAACAACACTAAAAATAAAATATGCATCGTTATTTTTATCCTCCTTTTACACAAAAAGTCACAGATTGAACCCTTATTTTGCTTTCTGCTTTTAAAAATGTTTTAATGAGATATAGCATATGTATATTAATATGCACATATCTTCAGTATACAAATCAATGTATTTAGCCTATTTAGCCACCACATAAATCACTTGTAGAATTTTTCAACACTTCAGAAAGCTGTAAGGCTCTTTTCTATTCAGTGCCTCTCACTTAAAGTAACTAACCATCATTCCTATTTCTATCATCATGTATTAGTTTTCCAGGTTTTAATGAACTCACAGAGTGTACAGTTATTCATGACTCTTTTTTTCAGTTACTTTATTGTTATTTCTGTGAGATCCTTGATGATGTTGTTTTTTGATGGAAATGGTTATATTTTTATTGCTGTGTAATTGTCCATTGTGTGTATGGACCACAATTTACTTATTTATTCTCCAATTATTTCTGTAAATAGTTGGATTACTTCTATTAATTTTTCTTTATTAAGAATAATGGTTCTGTCAACACTTTTGCATCTGTCTTTGATAAATATATGCTTTCTTTTTCTAGGATATATCTAAAGGAGTGGCAGAGTTGCTGTGTCATAAATATTGCCAAACATATATTTATATTTGTCTTTTGAATGTACATGTACATCATCAATATATGAGAGTTCCATTTGCTCAAACCACTTTAGGTAATACTTGTTACTGTCACTTGTCTTTATTTTAGCCATTCTGATATGTATGTATTGATATGTCATTATGGTTTAAATTTTTCTACAAAATACCATTTTATTATTTTCACATGCTATTTGACCAAGAGAATAGCTTCATTTGGGATATGAAAACCTAAAGTTCAGATCCTCAGCCTTAATTTTTACTCAGTTATATGTATTTTTAACATTGATTTGTAAAAACACATTTTATGTTATCGATATAAATTCCTTGTCTTATATGCTATTTTATATCTTTATAAATACTTTATGTGTTTATTTTATATTGTTAAAATACCTGGTTCACCTTTTTCTAACTCTTATTTTCACAGCAAAATTTCTTAATTTTTAAATTTTTTATTTTTAATTATTAGGGAGTTGTATATATGAAATACCGGTAATGTTTTGATACATACAATGTGTAACGATTAAATCAGAGTAATTGGGGTATTCATCACATTAAGATTTATTTATTTATTTGTTGTTTTAGCAACATTCTAATTCTTTTATATTTTTTACATTTTATTTTAAGTTCCGGACATGCAGGGTGTGCATGTTTGTCACATAGGTAAACGTGTGATATGGTGGTTTGCTGCACTTATCAACCCGTCACCTAAGTATTAAGCCCCACATGCATTAGCTATTTATCTTCATGCTCTCCCTCCCCTGACCCCTTGACACAACATTCTAATTCTAATTCTACTCTTATTTTAAAATATACAATAAATTATTAACTATAGTCACCCTATTGTGCTATCAAATACTAGATCTTATTCCTTCTCTCTAACTATAATTTTGTACCCATTAACCATCCCCATTTTATCCTCTCTGTCCACTACCCTTCCCAGCCTCAGGTAGCCATCATTCCACTCTCTACCTCCAAGGTCAATTTTTTAAACTTTCACCTATAAGTGAGAACATGTCATAGTTGTCCTACTGTGTCTGACTTATTTTCTGTAACATAACGTTCTGGTGTTCCACCCATGTCATTGCAAATTACATGAAATTTCTTTTTTTTAAATGGATGAATATTATCCTATTGTGTCTGTGCCACATTTCATTTTTTTTTTATTTTTTATTTTTTATTTTTTTATTTTGGAGACGGAGTCTCGCTCTGTAGCCTAGGCTGGAATGCAGTGGCACGATCTCGGCTCACTGTAAGCTCCACCTTCCGGGTTCACGCCATTCTCCTGCCTCAGCCTCCCCAGCAGCTGGGACCACAGGGGCCCGTCACTACACCCGGCTAATTTTTTTATATTTTTAGTAGAGACGGGGTTTCACCTGTGTTAGCCAGGATGATCTCGATCTCCTGACCTCGTGATCCGCCTGCCTCAGCCTCCCAAAATGCTGGGATTACAGGCGTGAGCCACCGTGCCCTGCGTCTGTGCCACATTTCTTTACCCATTTATCCACTGAGGGATACTTAGGTTGATTCCATACCTAGGCTATTGTGAATAGTGCTGCCGTAAACATAGAAATGAGGATACATCTTTGGTATACTGATTTGGAATTTATTTTGGATATATACTTAGCAATGAGATTGCTGGATCATACAATGGCTCTGTTTATAGTTTTTTGAGAAACCTCAACATTGTTCTCCATAGTGGCTCTACTAATTTACATTCCAACCAAAAAGGTACAAATGTTTCTCCTTTCTCTGCATTCTTACCTGCATTTATTATTGCCTGTCTTTTGGATAAAAGCCATTTTAATTGGAGTGAGATGATATCCCACAGTTTTGATTTGTGTTTCTCTGATATTAGTGATGTTCTACATCTTTTTCATATATTTTTTGGCCATTTGTACATCTTCTTTTGAGAATTGTCTATTCAGATCATTTACCCATTTTTAATCAGGTGATTTTTTTTTTTTCTATTGAGTTCCTTACATGTTCTGGTTATTAATCAGAACATATGTTGTTGGGTGAATGGTTTGCAAACATTTTCTCCCATTCTGTGGGTTGTCTGTGCAGTTTGTTGACTGTTTCCTCTGCTGTACAGAAGGTTTTAAACTACATGTCATCACATTTGTCTATTTTTGCTTTGGTTGCCTGTGTGTTGAGGGTCTTAAGAAATCTTGGTTTGGACCAATGTCTTGGAGAGTTTCCTCAATGTTTTCTTTCCATGGTTTTATAGCTTCAGGTCTTAGATTTAAGTCTTTAACCACTTTCACTTGATTTTTGCATCTAGTGAAAGTGAGGGGTCCAGTTTCATTCTTCTGTATATGGATTGCTAATTTTCAGCACCATTTATTGAAGAAAACTGTCCTTTTCCTAATGTATATTCTTGGCACCTTTGTCAAAAATGAGTTGGATTTAAATGCAGATTTACTTTTGGGCTTTCTATTCTGCTCCATTAGTCTACATGCCAGTACCATGTGGTTTTGTTTACTTATAGCTTTGTAGTATAATTTGAAGTCAGGTAATGTGATTTTTCCAGCTTTGTTCTTTTTTGCTCAGTATGTCTTTGGGTATTCTGGATTTTTGCAGTTCCATGTAAATTTTAGGATTTTTTTTTTCTATTTCTGTGAAGAATGTCATTGATATTTTGATAAGAATTGTATTGAATCTATATATTTCTTTAGGTAGCATAGATACTTTTAACAATATTGACTTTTCCAATCCATGAACATAGAATACATTTTCATTTCTGTATGTGTGTACTCTTCAACTTATTTCATTGGCATTTTATAGCTTTCACTGTGGAGATCTTTCAATTTTTTTGGTCAAGTTTTTTCCAAGCTATTTTATTCTGCTTATAGCTATTGTAAGTGGGATTACTTCTTGGTTGTTTTTTCTTTTAGATTGTTGGCTGTTGGCATATGGAAATACTACTGATTTTTGTATGTTGATTTGTATCCTCCAACTTTATTGAATATGTTTATCCGTTCTAATAGTTTTTTGGTGGTGTCTTTAGGTTTTTCTAAATATAAGATTATATCATCTGTAAACAAGGATAATTTGACTTCTTCCTTTCCAATTCAGATGCCTTTTATTTCTTTCTCTTGTCTGATTGCTCTGGCTGGAACTTCCAGTACTATATTGAGTAGAAGTGGTGAAAGTGGTTATCCCTGTCTTATTCTAGATCTTAAAGGAAAGGCTTACAGTTTTTCCTCATTCAGTATGATACTAGCTGTGGGTTTGTTGTGTATGGCTTTTGCCATGTTGGGGTATATTCTTCTATCCCCAGTTTTTTGAGAGTTTTTATCGTGAAGAAATGTTGCATTTTATCAAATGCTTTTCCAGCATCAATTGAAATGATCGCATGGATTCTGTCCTTAATTTTGCAGATACGATGTATCACATTTATCAATTTGCATATATTGAATCATCTTTGCCTCCTGAGGATGAATGCCACTTGGTCATGATGGATGATGTTTTTAATGTGTTATTGAATTTAGCTTGCTTGTATTTTGTTGATAGTATTTGCATCTATTTCCATCAGAGACATTGGCTTGTAATTTTATTTTATTTGGTTCCTTTGTCTGGTTTTAGTATCAGCATAATACTCGCCTCATAGAATGAGTTTGGAAGTATTCTATCTTTCTCAATTTTTTGGACAAGTTTGAGTAGGATTAGTATTAGTTCTTTAAATGGTTGGTAGAATTCAGCTGTGAAACAATGAGGTTCTGAGCTTTTCTTGGATGGGAGACTATTTATTATTGCTTCTATGTCATTACTTGTTATTAGTCTATTCAGGTTTTGGATTTATTCAAGGTTCAATCTTGGTTAGGCTATATGTGCCTAGGAATTCATCCGTTTCTTCTCGGTCTTCTAGTTTACTGGGATATAGTTGCTTGTAATAGTCTCATGATTCTTTGAATTTCTGTGGTATCAGTTATAATGTCTCCTCTTTCATCTCTGATTTATCTAAGTATTCTTTCTTTTTTTCTTAGTCTGGCTAAAGTTTGTTGATTTTGTTTATCTTTCAAAACAATTGCAACTTTTAGTTTTGTTGACCTATTGTATAATTTTTTAGTCTCAATTTCATTTATTTTTGCTCTGATTTTTATTATTTATTTTCTTCTATTAATTTTGGGTTTGGTTTGCTTTTGCTTTTCTAGTTCTTTAAGATGCATTGTTAGATTGTTTATTTGAAATATCTCTACTTTTTGATGTAGACACTTATTTTAATAAACGTATGAAATGGTTTGATTTTTGTCTCCACTGAAATATCATCTCAAATTGTAATCCTCACATGTAGAGGCAGGGAATTGAAATCCTCACATGTTGAGGGAGGGAATTGAAATCCTCACATGTTGAGGGAGGGAAGTGGTTGGATCATGGAGCTGGCTTCTCCCATGCTGTTTGTATGATAGCGAGTGGGTCTCATGAGATCTGATGGTTTTAAAAGTGGCAGTTTTTCCTGTGTTCACATTTCATTCTCTCCTGCCACCTTGTGAAGAAAGTGCCTGCTTCTACTCCCGCCATGATTGTAAGTTTCCTGAGGCCTCCCCAGACATGCAGAACTGTGAGTCAATTAAACATATATGTTTTTATAAGTTACCCAGTCTTGGGTATTCTTTATAGTAGTGTAAGAATGGACTAATACAACTTACCCTTAGTACTGCTTTTTCTGTATCCCATTGGTTTTTGTATGTTGTGTTTTCATTTTCATTTGTTTCAAAAAATTCTTCAGTTTCTTTCCTAATTTCTTCATTGACCCAAAGGTCTTTCAGGAGCATACTGTTTAATTTCCATGTTTTATAGTTTCCAAAGTTTCTATTATTAGTGATTCTTAGTTTTATTCCATTGTGGTCATAAAAGATATGTATTAGGCCATTTTTGTGTGACTATAAAGAATTACCTGAAAGTGGATAATATATAAAGAAAAGAGGTTTAATTGGCTCAAAGTTCTGCAGGCTGTACAATGATGTCTTTATTATCTGCTTCTGGTGAGGGCCTCAGGAGGCTTACAGTCATGGTAGCCAAAGTGAAGAGGGCAAGAGTGGGGGCAAGAGAGAGCAAGGGGGGGATGTGCTGCACACTTTTAAACAACCAGATCTTGTGAGAACTCACTATTGCAAGGAAAGTGTCACATGCATCTGTGTGAAGAGACCACCAAACAGTCTTTGTGTGAGCAATAAAGCTTTTTAATCACCTGGTTGCAGGCGGGCTGAGTCCATTTTATAGGCCATTTTATAGGATTTGGGTAGATAGTGGAAAATTACAGTCAAAGGGGTTGTTCTCTGGCGGGCAGGGGCCGGGGTCACAAGGTGCTCAGTGGGGGAGCTTCTGAGCCAGGAGAAGGAATTTCACAAGGTAATGTCATCAGTTAAGGCAGGAACCAGACATTTTCACTTCTTTTGTGATTCTTCACTTGCTTCAGGCCATCTGGATGTATACATGCAGGCTTGGGCTCAGAGGCCTGACAGAAAGCATCAAGCCATTCATGAGAGATCTGAAACCATGACCCAAACCCCTCCTAACAGGGCCCATATCCAACATTGGAGATTACATTTCAACATGAAATTTGGAGGGGAAAAACGTCACAATAATATTACACCTCTAGCCCCTCAAATCTCATATCCTTCTCATGTTGTAAAATATAATCATCATTTGCCAATAGTCCCCAAAAGTCTTAACTCATCCCAGCATCAAGTCCAAACTTCTAAGTCTCATCTGAGATTCATGTCCTTCCACCTAGAAGCGTGTAAAATCAAATTAAGTCATGTACTCCCAAGATACAATGATAGTACAGGTATTGGGTAAACATTATCATTCCAAAAGACAGAAATGGGCCAATAGCAAGGGGCAATAGGCCTCACGCTAGTCTGACAGCCAGCAGGGTAGTCACTAAATCTTAAAGCTCCAGAAAATCTCTTTAGACGTTATGTACTGTATCAAAGTCACATTGGTCCAGCTCTGCCCCTGTGGCTCTGCAAGGTGCAGCCCCCAAGTCTACTCTCATAAGTTAGAGTTGGAAGTCTGCAGTTCTTCCAAGTACAGCATGCAAGTTGCTGGTAGACCTAACATTTTGGGTTCTGGAGGGCAGCAGCCTCTTTCCCATAAGAAATTGTCCTGGTGGGGACTCTCTATGGAGCCTCCAACCCCTACATTTGCCCTTAGCATTGCTATAGTAGAGGTTCTCTGTGAAAGCTCTGATTCTGCAGTGGGCTTATTCCTGGGAACCCAGGTTTTCTCATACATTCTCTGAAATCTAGCTGGAAGCTGCCAAGTTTCCTTATTCTTGCATACTGTGCAACCACAGGCTTCGCATCATGTGAAAGCCGCCCATGTTTCTGGCTTGCACCCTCCAGAGTTGTGGCCCAAGCTGTACTTGGGGCTCTTTGAGCTGCAGCTGTAGCTAGAGTAGCCAGGATGTGGGGAGTAGTATCCTGAGGCTGCTCAGGCAGGAATGTGTGGTCTCTGAAAGCATTTTTTCCTCCTAGGACTCTGTTATGTGATGGGAGGGGATGTCTCCAAGATCTCTGAAATGCTCGTGAGGCCATTTTCTCATTGTCTTGGATGTTTACACTAAGCTTGCTTTTAATCATGCTAATTTCTCTAGCAAGTGGTTGCTTCACAGCCTGCTTGTCTTCCTCTCCCAAAAATCCTTTCTCTTTCTTTGCCACATGGCCAGGCTGCAAATTTTTCAAACTTTTATACTCTGCTTCCCTTTTAAATGTTTCATCTTTAAGTCATTTCTTTGTTTTCATGTCTGATTGTAGACGCTTAAAAGCAGTCAGGCCATATCTGAAGTGCTTTGCTGCTTAAAAATTTCTTCTGTTGTCAGTTACCCTAAGACATTACTCTTAAGTTCAATCTTCTGCAGATCCCTAGGACATGAGCACAATGCCGCCAAGTTCTTTTCTCGGGTGTGACACAGGTGACCTTTACTCTAGTTTCCAATAGCTCCATCAGATACCTCCTCAGCCTGACCTTTATTATCCATATTTTCCGTCAGCATTTTGTAACAACCATTTAACCAGTCTCTAAGAAGTTTCAAACTTTTCCTCATCTTCTTATCTTCTTCTGAGCCCTCCAAACTCTTCCAACCTCTGCCTGTTACACAGTTCCAAAGTCACTTCCAGATTTTTAAGTATATTTTTAGTAACAACTTCCTCCTTGGAATTAATTTACTGTGTTAGGCCATTTTGCATTGCTGTAAAAAATACCTAAATCTGGATGATTGATAAAGATAAGAGATTTAATTGGCTCATGGTTCTTCAAGCTATAGAAGCATAGCTCCAGCATTTGCTTTTGATGAAGGCTTGAGGAAGTTGACAATCATGGTGGAAATTTAAGGGGGAGCAGGTGTCTCACTTGGCTAGCGTGGGAGCAAAAGAGAGCAAGGAGGGAGGCACCACACACTTTTCAATAACAAGTTCTCATGAGAACTCACTATTCTTAGGACAACACCAAGCCATTCATAGGGGATCAGCCCCCATGACCCAAACATCTCTCACCAGGCCCCACCTTTAACATTGGGAATTATGTTTCAACATGAGATTTGGAGGGAACATCCAAACTATATCAAGATACTTCATATGATTTTGATTTTTCTTTGAATTTTTGAGACTTGTTTTGTGCCCTAACATATGGTATATCCTTGATAGTGTTCCATATGCGGATGAGAAGAATATGAATTCTACAGTTGCTGGATGAAATGTACTATAAATTTCTATTAGGTTTATTTGGTCTATAATACAGATTAAATCCAAAGTTTCTTTATAGATGTTTTTTTGTGTGGATAATCTGTCTAATATTGAAAATGGGATTTTGAAGCCCCCAGGTACTACTGTATTTGGATCTCCCTCTCTCTTTAGTTCTAAAAATATTTGCTTTCTATATCTGGATGCTCCAGTGTTGGATACATACATAGTCACAACTGTTATAACCTCTTGCTGAATTGACTCCTTTATCATTATATGATGACCTTCTTTGTCACTTTTTACAGTTTTTGTCTTGAAATATATTTTGTCTGATACGCGAATAGTTACTCCTGCTCTTATTTTGGTTTCCATTTGCATGGAATATCTTTTTCCATCCCTTTATTTTCAGTCTATGTGTGTCTTTATAGGTGAAGTGAGTTTTCTTTTTGTAGGTAGCGTATAGTTGGCTCTTGTTTTTTAATCTATTCAGCCACTCTATGTGTTTTGATTGGAAAATTTAGTCCATTCACATTCAATCTTATTGATCAGTAAGGACTTACTCCTGACATTCTGTTGTTATCTGGCTGTATTGTTGGTCTTTCTTTCATTCTTTCTTTCTTTCGTTCTTCTTTTCTGTCTTTATATATCAGTGTTTTTTTTTTTTCTGGAAGTATGTTTTAATGTCTTACTTTTTATTTTTTATGTATCTGTTATAAATTTTTGTTTTGTAGTTACTATAAGGCTTTCAAATAACATATTATAACCAATTATTTTATTCTGACAATTTAACTCTGATCAGAAAATTAAAACAAAAACAAAGCTAAAACTACAAAACTCTATACTTTAAATCCATCCTCCGTGCTTTGTGACTTTTTGTTGTCTCTGTCTTTTTATACTATTTGTTTCTTAAAAAGTTGTTGTAGTTATTATTTTTGATAGACTTGTCTTTTAATTCTCCTACTCAAGATTTGAGTGGTTTACACACTGTAATTCAAGTGTCAGAGTATTCTGTGTTTGTGTGTACTTAATACCAGTCAGTTTATTTATGTATTCATTTACCTATTTTTTGAGACAGAGTCTTGTGCTCTCACCCAGGTGGAGTGCATTGGCGTGAACACAGCTCCCTACAGCATCAACCTCCTGGGCTCAAGCAGTCTTCCTACCTCAGCCTCCCAAGTAGCTAGGAGCACAGGCACAGGCCACCACACTGAGCTGTTTTTTTTCTTTTTTAATTTTATAGTGATGGTGTCTCATCATGTTGCCCAGGCTGGTCTTGAACTTCTGGCCTCAAGTGATCCTCCTGACTTGGTCTCCCAAGGTGCTAGGATTATAGGTGTAAGCCACCTTGCCTGGCCTATCAGTGAGTTTTATATCTCCAGATGATTTCTTTTCGTTAATGTCATTTTCTTTTAGATTGAAAAGCTTCTTTAGCACTTCTTGTAAGACAGATCTAGTGTTAAAAAAGTCTTTCAGCTTTTGTTTTGTCTTTAAAAGCATTTATCCTTCATGTTTGAAGATTAATTTTCCTTGTTACGATGTTCTCAATTGAACTTTTTGTTTGTTTGTTTGTTTGTTTGTTTGTTTTAATTTATTTTCTTCAGAACCTTGAATATCTCATCCAACTCTTTCCTGGCCTGTAAGGTTTCCATTGAGAAGTTTGCTACTAGATATATTGAAGCTTTTTTCTATGTTATTAACATAGAATCCTGGAGCCAGCCAGGATTCAGGATCTTTTTGCTGGGGTGGAATGTTCCCCTCTGAATCTAGGGGTAGTCTAAATGCTTCCTCTGTAGGCACCAGCAGAATTCTTCTCTTCCTGCTTTTAGGATCCTTTCTGTATCCTCAACCTTTGAGAGTTTAATATATTCCTTGAGGTAGTCTTATTTGGGTGGAGTCTGGTTGGGGTTCTATGACTTCTTGTACCTAGCTAGTCATATCTTTCTTAGTATTACTTATTTTAATACATTTTCTATGTCAATCTCTCTCTGTCTACATCCTCTTTAAGGTCAATAACTGTTATATTTGCTATTTTGAGGCTATTTTTTAGATCCCATAGGTATGCTTTATTCTGTTTTTTCTTTTTTTGTTCTCTGTGTATTTTCATGTAACTTCTCTTCAAGCTCATTAGTATTCCTTCTGCTTGATCAATTCTACTGTTGACTGATGCACTTTTCAGTTTGTCAATTGTATTTTTCAGCTCCAGAATTTCTGCTTAATTTTTAAAATGATTTTAATCTCTTGTTAAATTTCTCTGATAGAATTCTGAGTTTCTTCTCTGTGTTATTTTAAAGTTTGTTGAACTTCTTCAAGACAGCTACTTTGAATTATCTGTCTAAAAGATCACATTTCTCCATAACTTCAGGATTATTGATGGGTGCCTTACTTAGTTTATTTGGTGAGTTCATGCTTTCCTGGATGTTCTTGATGCTTGTGAATGTTGATTGATGTCTGAGCTTTGCAAGTTAGGTGTTTGTTTCTATCTTCACAGTCTGGACTTGTTTGTATCTGTCCTTCTTTAGAAGGCTTTCTACATATTCCAAGGGGATTGAGTTTTGGGACCTAAGCCTATGATCACTGCAACCATATTACACTATGGGTACCCTAAACCCAGGAATGGTGTAACTCTTCCTGAATCCTAGAGATATCACCTTGATGGGCTTGGGTAACAGAATCCCCTGGATAACCAGGCAGTCTCTCACTCTCTTCCCTCTCTTTCTCCCAATTAGAAGGAGTTTCCCACCATGCTGGGCTGACTGACATTGGGGGAGGATTGACACAAGAACTCTTATGGCTACCACAGCTGGCACTCCACTGAAGCCAGCAAAATACTGGGTCTCATCCAAGGCCTGTGGTGACTAGTGCCTGGCTACTGCTGATCTTCATTCAAAGCCCAAGTGCTCTTTTTAGTCAGCAGGTTGTGAATTCTGTCGGGACTGTGTTCTTCCCTTCAGAGCAGTGGATTCCTTTTGGTCCCATTGTTGTCTTAGAAATGCCATGCAGGAGCTCAGGCCTGGAACTGGAGGTTTCAGGAAACTTCTTGGCAATTTATTGTGGCTGAGCTGGTACCCAAGTTGCAAGACAAAGTCCTCCGTACTCTTCCCTCTCCTTTCAGCACATGAAAGGACTCTCCCTCCAAGCTACACAGCCTGCAGTTGTGAGAGAGTAATGTGAGTACTGTCTTGACTACCACAGCTTGGTCATGGGTAATGCCCACCCCAAGCCCACTGCTTCTAACAATGCAGCTCCAGAGAAGGTTTACTCAAAGACTGCAGTCCTTGTGGCATTACTACCACTCAAATTTATTTTGGGCCCCAGGCCTCTTTAGTTAGATGCTAGTGGAGCCAGCCAGGATTCAGGATCTTTCTGCTGGGGTGGAATATTCCCCTCTGAATCTAGGGGTAGTCTAGATGCTTCCTCTGTAGGCACCAGCAGAATTCTTCCCTGTGATGTGTTCCTCTGTGATAAGGAAGCACGGAGTTCCAATGCAAAGTTCCACATTTACTTTATTCTCCCTCCCCCAAAAACGCAGATTTTCTTTTCACATGGTACTGATGGAAGATAGGGAAGGGTGGTATAGGAAATACAACACTGTCTTTCCTACTCTTTTCAATGCCTCTTTCCTTGATATTATGCTAAAACCAGGTACTACGATTGCCCATCTAATTTTTTATTCTTATGAAAGTGCTTTGTTGACTGAATAGTTCTTCATTTTTGTGTTTCTTTGGGAGGTGATCTCTGGGGAGTTCTATTCAGCCGCTTTTCTCTGCCTCCACTCTCAATTTTAAATTTGTATTTAAAATTTGTTTTGCTTAATTTTAATACATCGACTTTATTAATTTTTTGATAGTGCTTATTGCATTAAATAAATCTTTGTCTACTAAAAAGGCATGAAGCTATGTTGTTTTTTTCTAAAGCTTCTTCATTGCAGTTAATCATTTTCGGTTAATTTTAGCATTGGTGTTAAGTCAGTGTCAATGTCTCTTTTTTTTTTCTTTTTTTAATATGAATATTTGGTTTGCCAGTACCATTTGTTGAATAACTTTTCCTTTCTGATTGAATTGCCTTGGTGCCTTTGTTGGAAATCAACTGACCACATGTATATGGGTATATTTCTTAATAAATAATTCTACCTTTAATCTATGTCTATTTTTACGCCAATGTTAGCTTTGTGTAGCTGGTGAATCTAGAAATTAAGTTATATGAGTTATTGAATTTTGTTTTAAAACACATGCATAAATTTGAGTATTTACAATCTTTTGTATTTTCATATGTTTCTGTCCATATTTGTGGGAAAAGCTTTCTGAAATTTTGACTGAAATTTTGTTGAAACTATATGTTAAGTTGGAGAGAATGGTAACGTTGACAATAGTGAGCTTTTCAATCCATGCAATCTATGAAATCAATATAGCTCTTCATTTTTAAAAGATATTCCTTGAATTTTTCTTCACAGTGTTTTTTCAGATTTTAATGTATATTTTGGTGTTTGTCATGTGGAGCTTGTGCACATAGCTCGTTTTTCCTGGATATTAGAATTTTATGTTTTGTAGGTATATAATTAGTATATTTATTTCAATTCTTTATTTATTTTGATGCTGGAATTTAGAAATATACTTGAGGTAGTAACTTTGCTGAATTTACTTATTAGTCCTGATCATTTCCTTATGGATTATTTTTGATTTCTTTATGTAAAATCTTGTAATTTATGATGGAAAGTTTAATTTCTTTACTTCTAAACTTCATAACTTTTTATTTCTTTCCCTCCCTTATTCACTCTTTAGGACCTCTGTTACAATGTTGAATTAAACATTAAAAAAATTGCTTCCACATTCAAAAGGAAAATATGTTTTGGCATTCTATGTAGAGTTTTGAAAAATTTAAACCAGTTTTGCATTAGAATGTCTTTTGACTTGGATTTGCCTAATGTTTACTTATGATTGAATTCAAAGTATGTATTATGTGACTTGTATATTTGTTTCTTGAAGAAAGAGAAAAATTGAAGAGAAAAATTATTAAAGAGAAAAATTTGAACTCCAATACATATTTTTTATAGTGCATGTTTAATGTTAATGGAATAAGTACTAATATTAGGTCAGAAAGATTTGTTCACATATTTATTCTAGGAATTCTATAATTTTAAATTGAAATTTGGATCTCTAATTTATGTAAAACAGAATTTTCTTGCTATCTTTAGCATAAATCAACTGATCATATATATAAGTCTATTTCTCAATTTTCCTTCTGTTCTACTGTTCTAAATGTGTGTTATTTAGCCAACATCACAGCCAATATCAAACTGTGTCGAATACTGTAGATTAAATCTTGAAATTAGGTAGAAAGTTTCTCCAACTTTGTTTTTCATTTTAATAATTGCTTAGGCTATTCTAGTTTCTTCAAATTTCTATTGAATTTAAAAATCAACCTATCAATTTCTATCTTCAAATTTTGATTTAATTTTTAATGTAGCCTATTAATTTCTACCAATTTGGAGGAAATTGATATTTTAACAATAATTTTAAATACATATTTATTAAAATATTATTTCATTTTTCTCAGCAATGTTCTATAATTTTGAAAAAACTTTTATATGTTTGGATTAATATACCCATAAGCATTTTATACATTTTGATTCATTGTAAATATAATTTATTTTACATTCCATTTTATAGTAGTTTAATATTAGCCTACAAAATATACATGTTTACAATACTGACACTTTGACCTACAACCTTGTTAAAGTCATTTATGTGTTCTACTAGTTGTCTTATAAATATCTGATAATTTTGTATGTAAATTATCGTGTTCTTTAAAGAGATGAGATTTTACTAACTCTTTCTCATCTACATGTCTTTTACATTTTTTCTTGCCTTATCGTAGTGGTCAACATATTGAGTTTAAAATTGAGTAAAAATGTTGAGAATAGGCATTTTTGCCTTGCTTCTGCTCTTTCAGGGAAACATTCAGCATTTTACCATTAAGTATGATAAAATCTAAAAGTTCTCATAGCTTCTTTTTATCGTATTGAAGTTTTGTTTTTTTGAATTTCTATGTTTTTTATTAATATTATAAATGAGTATTAAATATTTCAAGGCATAACATGAAAATTTTCTCAGTACTAAGAAAAATTAAAACTTAAAATTTTTCATTTCATTCTGTTAAATATTTACTCATATATATTAGAGTTCATAATTTAGATGCGAATATATTTATGATTGTTATGTCTTCTTATTGGATTGGTCCATTAATATTAGAAAATATCTCTCTTGATTCTTTGCTAATATTCTTAAAATCCATTTTATTTGATAGTAATAAAACCATTCTTTTCTCAAGGTTGCTATTCCTCTGATTATATATAGAGACACATTTTCATCATTGTATTTGCCTAACATTAGAAGGATATTTGATAGCATATAACTGAGAATTGCTTGTCCAAATGAATTCTAACAACCACTCAACATCTGACTTTTAATTGTAGTGTTTTGTCCATTAACATTTAATGCAATTTTTGATATAATTAGCTTTAGATATACTTTATTATTTGTTTTCTATGTGGCATCCCTCCCTTCTTTCTACTGTTTTTCTCCTTTCTTAGTTATTTTTAATTACTTATCTTTTTTTAAATTTCATTTTATTTTACCTATTGGCTTTTAACCATACTTCTTTTTAATATACTTCAGCATTTTCTCCAATCATTTCAATAATCATTTTATAATTATTCTGGGCCATCTAATCTCTTTAATTGGAAATGTCATTTATGGAGGTGATATTCTTACTTACTACTGATAATAATTTTATGTTATGCCAAAAATTGAAAAATTTTCGAAGGCCTGTTATGAATTCATATTTTGAATTTATTATATTTTGTCTTAAATTACTTGCTTTACGTAAGTATAATACATAGTTAAATCCAATTATTATAATAATTATTTAGATCAGCAAATCTTGCTAAAACTTTTGCTGTTATTATTCCAATACATTTAAGAAAAATATAATAATTCCTAATAATATTCCATATGAAAGAACAAACAAAACATCAAATATATTAAATGTGTGTGCATGATATAAACTTTTCCTGCTGTTTTGGACTTAGATTAAGGTCCAGAAGTCACTTTCGGAGAAAAAGTCCCTGCCACTTTTGTATTCGGAATTGTTTTTGACTATCACCTGGGTCTTTTAAGAGTTTAGCCAATTGGGGCCTGGTGTGATGGCCCACACCTGTAATCCCAGCATTTTGGGAGGTCGAGGCCGGTGGATCACCTGAGGTCAGGAGTTTGAGAGAAACCTGTTAAACATGGTAAAACCCCGTTTCCACTAAAAATACAAAAATTAGCCAGGTATGGTGGCAGGTGCCTATAGTCCCAGCTACTCGGGAAGTTGAGGCAAGAGAATTGCTTCAACCTGAGAGGTGGAGGTTGCTGTTAGCCAAGATGACACCACTGTGCTCCAGCCTGGGTGACAGTGTGAGACTGTCTAAAAAAAAAAAAAGAAAAGAAAGCGTTTAGCCAATCATTTGTTAATTATGCATTGGGGATTTGGCTAGTGGCGTCAGGTACCTAAACTTACACAGTTGTCATTTTGTTGCGATCACTATCTCCTTGACGTAAATATTTCTTTGCTTTGCTTTATCTTATTTTGTTTTATTTTATTTTATTTTGAGGCAGAGTCTCACTCTATCACTGTCACCCAGGCTGGAGTGAAGTGGCATGATCTCAGCTCACTGCAACCTCCACCTCCTGGGTTTAAGTGATTCTCCTGCCTCAGCCTCCTGAGTAGCTGGGATTACAGATGCTGTCACCAAGGCCAGCTAATTTTTGTATTTTTAGTAGAGATGGATTTTTGCCATGTTGCCCAGGCTGGTCTTGAGCTCCTGACCTCAGGTGATCTGCCCGCCTCAGCCTCCCAAAGTGCTGGAATTACAGGCATGAGCCACCGCGCCCTGCCAAAGTACTTCATTTTTGGGATAAATAATTAGATTGGTATGTATGTGAGACACAGATGATCATATGGCTCTGGTTTCTAACTCCTGCTTCTGCTCTACTCAGTGAATGGATTATATTACTACATTCATATATGGGTTACTCTTTCACATACTATTAATATATTGACTCAGATATAAATTTTAGCCCCATTTTGAAAATCTAAAAAATCATCTTCACACAAAACCTCTACAGGAGTTGTAGGCACACCTGAATGTTAGAAGGATAAAGTAGGAGAGGGGTTTGCATAAAAACAATGCAAAACATCTCTAAATGCAAAAACAAACAAACAAAAAACAAACAAAAACTCTAAATGCAACAAAAATCCATATTTTAATGGTTCTATGACCATTCCTTAGCAGTATTTTAAGTCTCCCTCCATATCCTGCCCATCTTCCTTTTTTCTATCTCCTTTTCTGTGGGTTGAATTGTGTTCCCCCCAAATTATGTTGTACCTCTGATCTGCAGTATTTGTGAATGTAACCTTATTTAGAACAGAGTCTTTGCAGTTATAAGGTCAATTTAAGATGAGATCATAATGGATTAGAGTGGACCCTAATCCAATGACTGTTGTCCTTATAAGGAGAGAGAGATTGGAGACAGCCAGACACACTGGGAAGAAGTCCATGTAACATTGTAGGCAGAAATTGGAGTGATGTGGCTACAAGCCAAGAACACCGAGGATTGCTGGTGACCGGCAGAAGCTGGAAGAGGGAAGGATGCATTCTTCCCTAGAGCCTTTAGAGGGAGCATGCCGTACTCACACCATGATTTTAGACTTGTAGATTTTCTTGTAGAAGATCATAAATTGCTGTTTTAAGTCACCCAGTATGTGGTAATTTGTTATGGCAACCTTAGGAAATGAACACACCTCCCCTCTCTCCTCCTCCCTTTGATTACTTGATGTTTCCCACATTTTTCCTACTCTATTATGGGGGTCACTTTTAATTTTTTTTTTCCAGGTCCTAGGCTAAGTCCTGGTTTATGCCTGACCTTAAATGGCTGCATCTGTTCAAGTCCTAGAGAGAGCAAAATGATCTTTCATTTAATGTAATTGGCTCTTCTCTGAAGGTGACTATTGCTATAAATAGTACCTCTCACTTTCTATCCCATCCTACTTTCTAACTACACTTTGAAAAATATAAACCCTCAACAACTGGAAATTTTTTGATCAAAAACAGGTGGCTTGAATTTTATTGTGTATTTGAGCCAGATGTGAAGGCTGGCACATTTCTGAGCACATAGACAGTAAATATTCATAGAAATAATACATTAAAATTCCAGAAATCAATATAATTGCAAAGATCATAAGGGTGTAAATATGGACTTGCTCACTATCACTCCCCAAAACTTAAACACAGGAGGCAGCATCTGAAACATGAAGAGTTTGTTTTAAATACAATAAAAGACATAACTGTTTTATAATTTAAGTAAGTGTAAAAGACCAAGGATGGTAATAAGTTGTTTGCTACTCTCCCCATTAAGAGACGAGATCTAATTCACTTGCATTCCTTTGAATCTGGACTGGTGTTAGTGACTTTACTGATCCACAGATGGAGAAAGTAACATACTTGGGCCTTCAGGAACTAGGTCATAAACATCCCCGTGACTTCAGCCTGCATCTCTTAATATGAAACTTCAGCTTCCATAGAAGGAGGTTGACTACCCTGAGGCCACCGTGCTGTGGGAAGACCAAGACACTTGGAGAGACCCAAGAGCCAGGGCGGGCAAATCCTTACCTGGGGTCAACTCTGCCCCACTGAGGGCCGAATCTGGACATCTCCATTTATTTAGTGTTGTCTGTGGCTGCCCTTTCTGCAACAGCGGAGTTGAGTAGTTGCAATAGAGACTCTTAGGCCTGCACTGCTCAAGATATTTCTTATCTAGCCCACTAGAAAAAAAAAATATGTTCACCCCTCCTAGAGAATGAGACAGATTGTGGAGAGAAGCCATGGTGGCAAAAATGTACACATGTGAGTGAATAAACTACTGGGAAGTTGATCCTCCACCCTTAGGCAGGTCAGCCTGAGTCATTGCAGAATTCATGATCCACACAATTTTGAGCAAAATCTACTTTTAAGCTGCTAAATTTGGGGGTCATTTGTTACGGAGCAGTAGATCACCAGGACTATATGAAGCATATATTCTTCTTAAATTGATTAAATGATATAGTAGAGCATTTCACCAGAGCAAAAAAAATTTGGACAAAGCAACGCCTAGGTATAAATCAATAATGCGTAACTAAAACAAACTTGAACGTCATGTGCTTGCTGAGATATATTTTATATTTCTTTGGTAGATATATCTAAGAACAGGTTATGAAATCCTCACACTAGCAATGCTAACATCACTTACTATGTAATAGGGACTATTTTAAATGTTTTCGACATCTTAACTAATTTAACCCTTACAGAAATACTAAGAGGTAGCACTATTAATCTCTCAGTTTTATTAAGGAGAAAATTGATGGGCTGAGGGTTAATATAATTGCCCACAATTAGCAAACTGTGGACCAGCTTGCAAACCTAGGAACTCCGGCTTCAGACCCTGTGCTCTTTAATTACACACGATTGTTCTATCTGGGATGTTACTTGGGTCCTTGAGCTCATTAAGTTGTCCCTCTTGAGTCTATTGAAACTACAGTGTTCTAAATACTGTGACATACACCATTTCATGGTTTATTTTCCTCTATTTTATTTATTTATTTACTTACCTGCTTATTGTCTATTATTTTTCTGAAGCAAAAGTAATGATGCTGATTCTCCTCCTATTGCTGGACTTTTTCAACTTAAAAATATTTTTCTTTATCAATGGCTCGAGAACTTTATTCAGAGTTTTAAAGAAGCAATTACTATGTATAGCAAACAAGTTTATAAAACACTTTTTTAAATAAGCAAACTCACTGAATTATTATAATATATATATATATATATATATATATATATATATATATAAATTAAGGATAATCTGAATTTTCCTAGGTCTAATAAGGTGAGACAGAATGCTTGCACAAGTCAGGCAAAGCAAATTCATGACTCATACAAAGCAAGGAGAGACCGAAGCCTAGGATCACTGGAAGGCAGGTCTTCCAAGTCTCAGGGCAGTTGCCCATGAAGGCAGAGTCATGTCTGCATGTGCCCCACATGGCGGCTGAGAGATTCTTCCCTGGGTTTCATACATTGAGTGACACTTGGGTCACAGAGCACAAGCAGTGCAGAACATCCTGCCTGTGAACGATGAGGATGCAGGTAGGTTGTTCTGCATATTTCTTCTTTATCTCAGGACCATGCATTCTTGGCACCTTCTGCCAGGGAACTGCAAACTGGAGGGGGAAGAGCGGGGTCGGCCTAGGCCATCTGGAGGCCTGTCCTCTTGCATCTTCCAGGTGTATAGATGACATAGTTGAATCTCTAGAGTTAACTATGTTGACTAAATGGGACAGTCTCAACCTCAATATAGGCCCTTTCATAGCAAGTCCAGTGCTTCTCTGGCTACCAAGAGGTTTCCAGTTTTGAAATTTACAGTGGTTTTCAGTGGTTTAATATTATTCACATTTACTAAATATTCTTGACTTTGCAAAAATTACAGATATTTTTCTAGTAAATAAGATTTTCTTTTCCATTTGTATTTCAGAGACACCTTCCTTTGGTTTAGATGTATAAACCTCCATGTCTCATTTAATACACAACTTAGACCTATGAATGGTGAATATTTCAGTGTAATGTGGGCAGAAAGGAGAAAGGGATGGAGAATTTTTATGATATAATTACATTTGTGATACACACAGATTTTAGCAATTATCCTATGAATGTAAAAACATCAACTTCTTCCAATCTGAATTATTTATTCCCTTTGAGATCATCTTTCACATTGTAAGTGACCTGCTTCTTACACGAAAAATGCATGCAGATCCGAGCAGGAAACGCTACTCAATAATGTGTCTCCTCACTGGGAGCACTTCATTCAATTATCACACACGTAGAGCTGGAACACACAGTGCTCCTTTAACTAGCAGATAACAGGCTTTTAGTCCCTCTTACATTATACACGTTCACTTCTGATGCAAAATCACAGAACACGATTGTTGAAGGGGACCTTAAGTGTTACTGGGTTGAAATTGTCTGTTTTCTCGATGCTGACGGAAGCTGTGAGGACTGTGCTTGCCTTTGGACCACACCCTAGCTTGTTCCCTGAGAGCCGAGGCTGCAGGTCAAGGACTCTTGCCCTTGTCACTTCCCAGCGACAGCACCGACCTTGAGAAAACCACTTTACTTCCCAACGTAGCTGTGCACCCATAAAATAAGAGGATAGATCCAGCGTGTCACTCTTTAGTACAAGAGGTGAGGTATCGCAGTCCAGTGATGGGGGTAGGGCTACACATTCCATGCCAACCCTCTCCCCAGTTTGTTACAAAGAGAAAACACATAGCTGTCAAAAACTGTCAACATGTCAAAAACAAGTTAACTATGAAAACCAAAAGCCATCCTAAAATGTCGCATGATGAATTTGACTTTCCTTAGTCAATTTCTCCTCATGACAATTCCCGTTTCTGTTCTAGTCCTCCACCTCTCATGTTTCAAACATCATATGTTACAAGCAGAGCTTTGTACAAATACTCAGATTAAAGGATGTGTTCTCTGGGGACCAAATATGTGAGAGAACAATCAATACAAGTATGTGAGATTATCCTTAATGGAATAACACTGGTAGGCCCCTGAAGTCCTGGATTTTGCCTGAAGTTTGAAGTTTCTTTTTGCCAGCTGTGGGACCCTGTGCAGGTGATTTAAGTGCTCTAAGCCTCACTTCTCTGGTACATTAGAGACCTTTTAAGTTCCAGTGTCATGGCTTCTTTCAAGGAGCAGCATCTTGGCCAGGTGTGGTGGCTCACGCCTATAATCCCAGCACTTTGGGAGGCCGAGGCGGGTGGATCACCTGAGGTGAGGAGTTCAAGACCAGCCTGGCCAATAAGGTGAAATCCCATCTCTACTAAAAAAAAAAAATACAAAAATTAGCCAGGCTTGGTGGCACTCCCCTGTAATCCCAGCTACTCGGAAGGCTGAGGCAGGAGAATTGCTTGAGCCCAGGAGGCAGAGGTTGCAGTGAGTCGAGATCATGCCATTGCACTCCAGCCTGGCCGACAGAGCGAGACTCTGTCTCAAAAAAAAAAAAAAAAAAATGAGCAACATCTTAGACATTTGTTTTGCATATAACAGTCCTCAATATTATAATAATGTTTCTGTGTAGCTTTGTAGGTGGTTGCTTGTGAAAGCCAGGTGGGATATCACTGTGTGGCCATCCCACATGATTCTGGTCTGTGGAATTGCCATGCTTTCTGGGGACACATCCAGGAGTCACTGGCACTCTGGCCTGTCCGGACAGTGTGCTTCATTCTGGCTGCCCAGGCTTTTGGGTCTTTGTTTGCTCTGCTCCTCTGGTGAAACTGCCCCATGATTGTGATTAATTGCTGCACAGAATGAAGCTGGTTTTGTGTCTGTGTGTGTGTGTGTGTGTGTGTGTGTGTGTGTGTGTGTGTGTGTGTTTGTGTGTGTGGTCATCCGTTAGGCCTCCTTAATAACCTTTCTTTAAATCTCCAAATCTGGCATTTCAGCCTTGACCTTTTTTGGCCTTCTGAGTCATCTGCCTTGAACAGGGTCAGTCCTTTAGTTAGAAAGCAGGTTGTGGAATTATTATGCCATGGGCGTGGGAGATGAATGTCTATTACTAAATCCTTTCAAAGCAGGGTTCACTTTAGGCTGTATTGTGATGCAAGAGGAGAATTATGTCAGTTCCCCTTAATTTTGAGGATTTTGAAATGATTCATACTCTAAATGGATTTTTTGATATTTATATAAAATATTTTTATGTTTTAATTTTGAGATTGAATTATTTTCTTTATAGTTTAATTTGGGAAGCTTACTATGTGCATAGTATCTGTTCCATTTTTCAAATCTTATTCCAGTAAAAGGGGAATCATATATTTTTTGTAGAATTTCTGTATTTGGCTGTGGCTCATATTAGAAACTTGATCATTTTTTGCTAAATTACTTAACTTCTCAGAACCTCCACTTCCACTTTCTAAAATAACTTTCTTTCTGAACAACTTGGGTGGAAGAGAGAAAAGAATAGATCTCTAGACCCCTGGGACCACGGACATCTGGGTAATATCAAAGAAGTTTCTCTATCACTCTGTTCCAAAATTTCTTAACTGCAAAGTTGAGAAGATGCATCTTACGCCCACCTCTATAGTTATTGTGTGTGTGTGTGTGTGTGTGTGTGTGTGAACAATAGAGTCTGGTGAATGTGAAAATGCTTGGATATAGTGGAGCACTATCTATGAGCAAGCTATTTAACCAGTGTTTAAATTAGAAATGTCCTATTGCTTCTGAATATCTTTTCAATACAAAATGGTTAATCTTTTATTTATTGTTTCTTTTTTTTTTTCAATTAAGAGACAAGGTCTCACTCTGTCACCCAGGTTGGAGTGAAGTGGGATGATCACTGCTCACGGCAGCCTTGACCTTCGGGGCTCAAGAGATCTTCCCATCTTAGCCTCCAGAGTAGCTGGGACCACAGACACATACCACCATATCCGGCTAGATTTTTTTTTTTTTTTTTTTTTGTAGAGACAAGGTCTCCCTATGTTGCCTGGGCTGGGCTGAACCGATCCTCCCACCTTGGCCTCCCAAAGTGCTGAGATAACAGGCATGAGCCACTGTGCCTGGCCAAAACATGATTAATCTTTTAAAGTTCACAGTTCAGCTTGATACACTTTCAGTGGATGGGTGTTTTCAGTATGCGTATTGATTCGGTGTTAAAGGCATTAAATATTTTTGGTATATTATTGTATTTAATTAGATATATGGTGAGGATGGTAGGCAGACTTCTAAGATGACTCCTGGGATTTTTGGTTTCTCATGTGCAAACACCTCCTTCCAGTTATTCAATTAAACCCTGACCTATGTGTTGCAGGGAAAGGACTGTGCAGATGTAATTAAGGCTCTTAAACAATTGACCTTAACATGGGAGGGTATTCTTGGTGGGCCTGACTTCATCAGGTAACCCTGTCGGATGGATGGGAAGCATGGAGGGAATTCAGTCCTTGAGAAGGCCTCTCTTGCTGGGTTTAAAGATGGAGGGGGTCACGTGGCAAGAAATGCAGAAGACCTCCAGCTGTTGAGAGCGGCCCCTGGCTGACAGCCAGCCAGGAAACAGGGAGGGACCTCAGCCCTCCAACCATGAGGAACTGAATTAGCTGACAACCTGAGTGAGCTTGGAGTGGTTCTTCCTCTCTCAAGCCTCCAGAGGAGAACAGAAGCTGAGTGATAATTTGGTTTCAGCCCTGGACAGAGAAACCAGTTGTGTGAGATCAACAAAACTGAGGGCTAATAAATGGTTGTGGTTTAAGCTCTGTATTTATAATAATTCATCCCTCACCACCAATAGAACATAATACAGTAAGATTCATTTTCCAGATATGATATTTGTAAGATCTAGGTATTCCTGTTGAACACATGGTAACTTTCCAGCATAGTTGCTTCTGCTCCGGAGTCTCTATGACAGGTGATTTTCTCTCACGCTCCAGAGAAGCAAGGCCACTTGAGCATGTGTTCTTCTTCACATTTCAAAATTACAAAGAGGTTGTGCAATTCATTGCCTCTGAACATGCTAGCTATGAAATTATAGATGGTGCACCTTTGAGTGAATGAAGCTCTTGGGGCTTCTATTAATCCCCCATTCTGGTTTATAAAGTGATTCCTTAGCAAATAAAAAGTATAAAATGGCTTCAAATTGTTTAGGGTTCATTTCTGTTTTCTGAGTAGCATTAATCTTGTTATCTATACTATTTTTCACATAAAAAGAAGCAGGATGACCTAAAATGTGGACAAATTTGTTTCTTCCCTTGTTAATAGGTTTTATTTTACTCAGTTGTCCATTCCTCTGGTTTCAGAGCTTTCACATAGCTTTTTCTAAAATCTTTCAGTTAA
The DNA here is from genome assembly GCF_000001405.40 of Homo sapiens. Taxonomy (NCBI): domain Eukaryota; kingdom Metazoa; phylum Chordata; class Mammalia; order Primates; family Hominidae; genus Homo; species Homo sapiens. The sequence continues at coordinate 4,408,355 of NC_000002.12, forward strand.
GTTGTCATTCTTGACCAGAAATAACGGTCAAAACACCATCTGCATCAATATTTTGGCTTGTTTTCTTGATAATTTGCGAACCTGTGGGTGTGAATGACGCTTCCCGCTGCGCGGCTTCCCTGTGTCTCCTGTTTGTATTTAAGCACTCAAGTAGAAACTTCATCCTGCAAGGCTGGGAGGAAAGCGTCTCTTTACCTCGCAACAGGAGTTGGAAGACACATTCAGAGACCCACTGATATCTGACAAACAAAGATAGTGGAATCCGCTGTTCAAATGGCTTCAAATAACAACCTCCAAGGCCATGCCCGATGGCTGTAACACATGATTCTCAGAACAAATGCTACCAAGTACTTGTTGCTTTGCTTGGACACATATGTGCTTTCTGTTAGAGTTAGAGGGCAGAGTACCAAACTGGAGGTCACCATGGTGTAAATGACTCTACTTCTTTTTCCTGATAATATATCATAAATCATGTCCATAGAGAAATAAGCTTTATCATGCTAGAATTCTGAAAAAAACAAACAACAAACAAACAAAACTGCTTACTTTATTTTACTAACCACATAGTTAAAATTTTTATGTATTTCAATTAGGATTTTTTTTTGTTATAGATGGCTTTGTTACTTTTCTAAAGGAGAGGCATTCACATAGTAGAAAACTCAGCAATTCAGAAACATGAAAAGAAGTAAGCATCCTCTGATAGTCAAAGGAAACCAGTGTCCATTTTAGAAAACCTCTATCCAGACATCATTCTACATTTGTATACACATTTAGATTATATGTATATTATTTTGTATAAATAGATTATAATTCACATGCTGTTGTATAGTCTGCTGTTTTCACCTAACAATATAAAGGAAGTTTTTTATTTCAACAGAAACAGAGATCTAGGAGTGATTTTAATAAAGGTATTGTGTGGCTAGTCTATATTTTAGTTAACCAATTTTCTATTAATTGACATTTATGTTCTTCTTCCATTTTCACCATAACAAAGAATGCTTCAATGTCCGTATCTTTGTGCACATTACTTTGCTCTTCTTTTAGCATAGCATTTAAATTATGATGTTTAAGTAAAATAAATATAGTTCAGGCTTTTGTATAGAACAAAAAAAGTTAGAAATATAAGAAATTAATGAGTTGAAAGTGACCAAACTTGCGTGTCACCGTTGGATCTTAAGCATAGACAAAAATCTAGGGGGTATTCTAATAAAAACTAGGGGTATTCTGTACTTCAATTGTATCTTATTTTCTGTGGGTAGTTTTCTGGAATTACTGCCCAGTTTACCTGGACATTGGGGATGGTTTGATTGTATAACTTGATTTACATACAAATGTTGTTCTGGAAAGATTATCTACCACATTAACTTCCTTTGGGGACCACTGTGTGTAAAACAGAAAATGATTCTTTTTTTTTTTTTTTTTTCTTTTTTTTGAAATAGAGTCTCACTCTGTCGCCCAGTCTGGAGTGCAGTTGTGCGTTCTCGGTTCACTGCAACCTCCACCTCCTGGGTTCAAGCGAGTCTCCTGCCTTAGCCTCCCGAGTAGCTGGGACTACAGGTGTGCACTACCATGCCCAGCTAATTTTTGCGTTTTTAGTAGAGATGGGGTTTCACCATGTTGGCCAGGATGGTCTTGATCTCTTGACCTCGTGATCCACCCGCTTCGGCCTCCCAAGGTGCTGAGATTACAGGTGTGAGCCACCGCACCCAGCCAGAAAATGCCTCTTTAACATCCACCCCTACACTGTTCCCTCCATGGCCAATCTGAGTGGCCTGCCTCCCTCCTTTCTTCCCTCCCTCCCTCTCTTCCTCCCTCCCTCCCTCTCTCTCCCTCCCTCCCTCTCTCTCCCTCCCTCCCTCTCTTCCTCCCTCCCTCCCTCCCTTGTTTCCTTCCTCCCTTTCTCCCTTCTCAATACTACGGCTATTTCCATGATGTAGGGAGATTTATTTCAACACACACTTAGTTCCTCTCTAGTGCCTTTAGCTTTGTGGTTGTGGTTTTTGGTGGAGTGATTTTGAATTTGTTTATGGAAAAAACTATTTTTTGCTTGTATACACATACCATGCTCGTATAATTATTTTATTAGAATAAATGATTTTCTTGTGAATGAATTGTAATTCCAAATAACATTTTTTTCTTGCTTGACAGTGGATGCATGCAGACTCATTGAAATGTTGATTCTTACAGAGATCCATAAAATGAAAACCTCCAGAATTGTTTATAAACTTTCACTGCATGGGACGCTTAACTTTGTTCATTCATCTTTACATGAGATCATGTCTTCTCTTGGAATTCACCCCTCTGTCTTCCTTCCTCATCTCTAAAACTGGAATTAATAATATTCAGCTCACCAGGTAATTGTGAGAAATAACTGAAATGGCATATAGAAATGCCAGGACACAGTAGGTACTCACCGAATGGCAGCTCCTTTCTGTTGCATTTTTCAAGATTTGTTTTGTGATAGTAGTTATCCTCCTATGTTATATGCTCAAAAATAAAGTTAACACTTTTCTCCTTTTGCTTAGAAACTCTCAATAACTTCTGTAGCAGATGTAGTCAGGGTTGCTGTAAAAAAATCATAAATTTTGTAGCATTTTAGAAATTTATTCCTTACAGTTCTGAAGGCTGTAAGTTCATGACACTGTTGCTGTCAGATTCAGTTTAAGGTGAGGGCCCTCTTCCTGGTGTGCAGAGAAACTTCTCCTGTGTTCTGACATGGCAGAGAGAGAGAGAGAGAGACCCTTTGTCTCTTCTTTGTTTAAAAGAATACTGATCCCGGCCGGGTGTGGTGGCTCACATCTGTAATCCTAGCACTTTGGGAGGCCGAGGTGGGCGGATCACGAGGTCAGGAGATTGAGACCATCCTGGCTAACACGGTGAAATCCCATCTCTACTAAAAAATACAAAAAATTAGCCAGGCGTGGTGGCAGGCGCCTGTAGTCCCAGCTACTCGGGAGGCTGAGGCAGGAGAATGGCGTGAACCCAGGGGGCAGAGCTTGCAGTGAGCCGAGATCGTGCCACTGCACTCCAGCCTGGGCAACAGAGCGAGACTCTGTCTGAAAGAAAAAAATACTGATCCCATCAAGAGAACTCTGCCCACATGACGTCAGCTCGCCCTAACTGCTTTCCAAAGCCTCCATCTCTGACTACTATGGGCTTCAACATAAGAATTTTGAGGGAAAGCAAACATTTAGTCCAATAGAACTTTTTTCCTTTTATTTTAAAAGAACCTTGATATTGTGCAGAGCACAACCTCCTCAGAGGAGTTGAGCCTCCCATCCCAAAGAGCAGAAAAACAAAAACCATTGTAAGCCAAGCATATTCACACGGTTCTTCTCTTCAGTGACTGATGAATGGGTGGGGGATTTAATTCAGCTCCAGTCATTGAACCCAAGGGAAAGTGTGTCAGGTGGATCCTAAAAAGGACTTTGTTCCCTAAAAGTCAAATTAAAACATAAAAGACAGTGTTCTCCTTCTTCTTGCTTGAAGTACACTGGCGTTGGAATTCAGTGCTTGGACCATAGCTACCATTTTGTCCATGTGAGTTATCGAGGATTTGAAAAGCCAATGCATTGCAGCTGTCAGGGTGGAGAGAAGAAGTTCTGGGTCCTTGATAACGCTGATATGTTGCTGCCACAAACCTGGAATTGGCTACCTCTGGTTTCTTTGTATGTGATAGGAAGAAACTGCTCTGTTTCTGAAGCTGCTAGTTTTGAGTATGTGTGTGTGTGTGTGCATGTGTGTGTATGTGCATGTGTGTGAGAGAGATTTGCAGCTGAACACATCCTGAACACATTCTTATCCTATCATTCATAAGATAAAGTTCAGGTCTCTTATTTTGTCAACAATTGTTTTAGCTTCAGTCTCTCTGCTGCTTTCTTGGGTCTACCTGAATCTTTCCCACTGACAATGCTTTGCTACTTCTAAATTACACACAGCTCTTCTGTGTCTCCATCTTTGCACCTACTTTTCTTTTTGCTTGGGATTCTCAGTTTCTCTTGTGCTCCTTTAATGTGGCACAGTTTTATCCATTCTCTACAACCATCAGCCTACTTTCTGTCTATAGACACAGAGAAACACGTGATCAGATGCAGCATGGTGCTTTCCTGGACTTGACTCCAGGAACAATTACAAGTATGTTTCAAAACAGGAATCATTCAAAATTTAACAGCTACACATCTTGTTGAAATGCACATCAAATAACCCAAAAAGAAAACCCAACTAGTTCTATGAAATATAATTTATAGTGTTGTCTGAATTGAACACTTTGGATCTTAATATTATTTTGTTTCCTTTTGTATGGTTATGTCCCTCCTCCATATTTTACATTTTGATAATATTTCAAGGTCCTTAAATATAAGCCCTTATATTATATTTCCATGATATCCTTTGCAATGCCTGGCCCGCAGAGGCGTCAACCTCTCCTCCCTCCTCCTCTTCTTGCCCAAGCTGTGACCTTCTGTCACCAGCATTTCTGCTGTCGCCTCCACCCTGTCTTTCTGTTTCCCTTCTGGTCTCTTTTTCTCACAGCGTGCAGATAACTGTTGTAGCAGAACTCAGGTAATGCCCCTCCTGTACTCAAAACTCCCTCAGTGTTTCCCGTCGATTTGGAATTCAGTTCAAGTCCTCTGCCTTGCAGGACCTGGCTGTCACCACCCTCTCCAGAGTGATATTTCAGGCTTTCCTCCTCTCCCCCTGCGGCAGCCCCACTGGCCTTGAGTTATTTGAACACACAAAGCTTGCTCTTCCTCCAAGCCTTGCCCCAGACCTTTGCAGGACTGCCTCGCCCTCTTCATTTGGGTCCACTGGGCTGTCCTCGTCTCATGTGGTCCTGCCCAACAAGCTCATTAGAACACCACACACTGTGACCCGCCATCCCCTCACCCATCACATCCCCTGCCTCTTGGACCCTCCCTCGGCTTCACTATTTTCCCAAGCCCTCATCACTGGCTGACATGCACAGACAGTTCCCAACTTACCATTGTTTGACTTAGGATTTTTGACTTTGCAATGGTACAAAACCATCTCAATTTCCACACAATATGCAGAATTCAACAAATTACCTGAGATATTCAACACCTGACTGTAAAATAGGCTATGTGTTCAATGATTTTGCCCAAATATGGATTAATTTAAGTGCTATGAGCATGTTTAAGGTAGGCTAGGTTAAGCTATGATGTTTGGTAGATTGGGCGTATTAAATACTTTTTTAACTTATGATACAGGCCCACCTTAGAGATATTTTGGGTTTGGCTCCAGACCACCACAATAAAGTGAGTATCATAATAAAATGAGTCATACACAATTTTCTTACTTGTTTTGCAGTGCATACAAAAGTTATGTTTACTCTATACTATAGTTTAAGTGTGCATCATGTCTAAAAAATAATATATGTACCTTAACTAAAAATGCTTTATTGCTAAATAATGCTGACACAGAGACATGAAGTGAGCACATGCTGTTGGAAAAATGGTGCCAGTTGACTTGCTCAATGCAGGCTTTTCACAAACCTTCAATTTGTTAAAAAAAAAAAAAAAGCAGTATCTATGAAGCACAATAATGGAAAATGCAATAAAACAAGGTATACATGTACTTTCAGCTTACAACGGGCTTATCAGGATGTAGACACACCATAAGTCGAGGAGCATCTGCACTGATATATTCCTGTATCCTGATGGCATCACCTGCATGCTCATTTGCTTACCGTCTACTTTCCTCAGTGGCATTTAGGTCATAAGATGTGAGGGATTTGTCTATCTTGTTCAATGTTCTATCTCCAGTACCCAGCTTATACTACACACTTAGCAAATTCTTTTAGATGCATAAATAAATTACTTAATACATTTTTGCAGAAAAATTAAAGAGTTACATATTTTTGAGCGCCATTCGATTTGAATGCCATTTTAAGCATGTGCCACACACCCACATGTATATTTTAGTGGGGAGAGCTGATCCTGAGTCTTTTTCTTGGATTTTCAGAAACAGAATGACTTCTCTGGAAGAATATTTGACAGGATCTTAGTGGGCTGATAAATGTTTATACCGGCATTCATTCTATAAATGTTTACAGAGAATCGGAAACATGACGGGCAGTTGTGCAAATCTCTGAGGATATAAATATGAATTAGACATTTTCTCCAGTCTAGTGGTGACAAATGGTGACAAATATGTTTGTTACTATGGTAAGAGAATGCAAATTGTTGGTTCAAAGAATATTTAATGGCTAACTTTTAGGAACAGCATTTGATGACACAGCTTTTAATAAGTGACAGGAACTGAAAATAATCTGAATTTCCACTAATTTCCAAACACTGTTCTTCACTATTTAGGTTGATATTTGATAGATGGTTTATTGTAAATTAAAAAAAATGCAAAACTCTAGCCATCCTTCTTTTTCACCATTTTGATGGATGTAGTCTTTCTAAGGGCCCAAGAGAAATAATGATAAGTAAATTAGACCCTGATGTTACTGTTAACAATAAACATTTTTCCAGTCATGTTAAGTGGTTGCTAAGTATATAAAGCTAATTATTTCATGAACTGGTGTCCATCAGAGATTAAATTGTAGTTTATCTTCTGCCCACTCTCTACTACTGCAAGAATTCTCCAAGCAGCCTGATCTAAAAGCAGCCACATCTGTGGAGATTATTTGTGTAGTGTTAGTACCAGAATATCATTTTGGAGAACCTGAATTCTGTTGCTAATTATTCCAAGTGTCCACTTTCCCTTGCTTGTGTTGACCTGATTAATGTGTGGCTCTTTACCATTACATCTCAGAGAAGAGTATTTTCAAATAGGAGAAACACCAGCAGAGGTGTCTGCAGAAGACACAGTGCTGAAATATTCATACTGTTGAAGAGATCATCATAAAATGTTCACCTGGCCCCAAGAGCTGCCTGAGTGAGATTTCCTTGTGTTCAAGTTTACTCCCTGGCACTGCTGACTGATTTGGGACCCCAGGCAGAGTAATTAAAGCAAGTTCTGGATCTCTGTGTAGGAACAACGAGATTGCTTCTCCAACTCTGATGGCTATCAAGAGGGAGAGGAAAACACAAAGAGAGGAAATTAATTTACACACTAATGAATTTTTTAATTAGTATTTTAAAATCCAAACTTCAGCAGATTTCCCTATAGGGAATGGTATAGAATGATCCAGGTAATTAGCAGGAGTGAAGGTATTAAAACAAACTTATGGATATAATGAGATAGAAGGTGTTTGCAGGTCAGTAGCGGCAATCAAACTCAGGATATGACGCTTTGAGGAGGAAACACAGGTTGCTGTTTTCCTCACAGAAGAAATAGGGACCATCACTAAATTTAAAATAATAAATTACATAATAAGGTATGTACCTGAAAGCATATTAAAATGTTCTTTGAGTATAAATTGGCCTTTATTAATATTTTTAATTCGCTATAGGTTACAAACCATAGTTTTAGGGTATAATTTCCCAGTAAAAATGAAAAGTGAAGCTAATGTTTCAAGGATAATTATTACAGTTTTCTCTAGGTGTGATGATGATATGCATAACAGCACTTTAAAGAAATAATAAAGTCTTTGTGTTTATTTATTCATCAAGTATGGTTATGTCTATAATTGCCTCATATGCCAAAAAGGGGAATGAAATTCTGAATAGTATGCGTCATAATGAAAGTGTGTCATATTCTCTTTTGGAAGATTTTTTTTTAATAGAAATGAAAATACCTATTTTATATGTATCCTAAATCTAACTATCAAGGATGAAGAATAAAACATTCAGAAAATAAATTTTAGGCACAGAAGAGCCAAAGGAACTATTTTGCAGTCTTTACCAAGCTACAATCACAAAAGGCCACTGATGCCAAGAGGGTAGTCATGATTTCATTTAGGTTGCAGTAACCATGGTCAGTCATGGAGGCTAGGAAAGTCCCCAACAGGTCCTTCAACCACTGTCATTGTAATAACATTACTATTGTTAAGGACTTCTCAGTCTCAATGAATAATCTCTTAGTGCTCTCCCTGCTTTCAATCTTTACATTTCTGAATCTGTCCTGCATCTTGTTATCCACCCAGACTTTTAAAAAATACTATTTAAATGATGCCATTCTACTGCTGAAAATAAACCTTCATTAGCCTATGGAATCCATCTTTTTTTTTTTTTTTTTTGTCCTCATCCAAGCCTTCAGTGATCTGACAGCAATCTGAATTTCTAATCTAAGTGCTGACAACTTCCTCATTGGTACGGTTGAAAGCAAACTGGATGTGCAGTGTCTGATTCCCAGACCTTCACTCCTTGGCCGAGTGCATTTGGGCACATCATTCAGATATGACAATTGGATCCTCTGTTCCTGCATCTGCCAGATGGAGATCCAAGTGTGAGCCTTGCCTTTCTCCTTTAATACGTCTCTTTTGAAACTGATCATATACTGCAGCACATTTTCGGTATTTGCATTTTTATCTCACTAAATATTGGAGTCTCTGTGGTGATGGAAATTTTATTTTTCATTTGTTTTTCCTTACATGACATGTAGCATAATTATTTACATGCATTAAAATTATGGATGAAATAAATTAATTAAAATTAACTATTCATTAATATTTCTTTTTTATTATTATCTGGGGATTTCTGCAGAGGAGCAACCCTTTGTAAACATTTTCATACGTGTCCTGTAATATCTAAGTTGTATTTTAAGAAAAAGGCATACTTTTTATGCAGTGGAATCATAGAACGAATTTGTTTTCACCAAATTTGAGAGTCAAGAAAAGTATGTTTCATAAGCAATGCATAGAGACTGTTTCTCTGCTTCTAAATTCTGGATGGGCCTGGCTAACAGGGAGCTCTCTGCTTTTCCCACTGGTGACTTCTTCTGTTCATACAAGATTTAAAGAGACATTCTATTCTAGGCTAAAATCTCAGAACACAGGACTCCATTGATTTCTCAAAGTGTAATCACCAGCAATGTCTTCAGAGCAAGGACTGCCCCTGTGTAAGCAATCTCCGCATCCGAGCTACAACGCTCAGAAATTCAAAGTCAACAAGGTAATAGAGGAGTCCCCACTTTCAGTCCAGTTCCTTAACTCTTACTCATGCCTTGCAACACACACACAGAAACACACATGCACACACACATACACACACACAGACACACAGAGACACACACAGACACACACACACACAGACACACACGCAGAGACACACAGACACACAGACACACAGACACACAGAGACACACAGAGACATACATACACACACACAGAGACACACATGCACACACACACAGAGACACACACACACAGAGACACACATGCACACACACACACAGACACACATGCACACACACACAGAGACACACATGCACACACACACACAGACACACATGCACACACACACAGAGACACACACGCACACACACACACACACAGAGACACGCACGCATGCACACACACATGTGTTTTATTTCCTCCGCAAATGAATTTACTCTTCTTCCCGACATGGCCCCTTTTCTACCAACTTACTTTACCCCCTCCCTGCCCCTTCTCTCAGCTATTTTAAAAGCAGTGCCGATATTTGGTCACCACTATGAGAACACCCAGCAACAGAGAAAGTTTCCATGGAAAAGGCACATTTACTTTCTTAACAGCCGTTACCAAAGTACACACATCCCCATGGCTCACCCTCCACGGGAGAGAACCTGCCTGTGTGCTCAACACTGCTCTTCATATTATATGTTTCTTTAGAAAGAAATTACTGGGTGTATACCCAAAGGAATAGAAATCATTCTTTCATAAAGACACATGCACACGTATGTTCATTGCAGCACTATTCACAATAGGAAAGACATAAAGTCAACCTAAATGCCCCTCAGTGGTAGACTGGATAAAGGAAATGTGGTAGGTATGTACCATAGAATACTACGCAGCCATAAAAAAGAATGAGATCATGTTCTTTGTGGGAACATGGATGGAGCTGGAGGCCATTACCCTTAATAAACTAACTCAGGAACAGAAAAATACCACGTTTTCACTTACAAGTGGGAGCTAAATGATGAGAACACTTGGGCACATAGAGGGGAAAAACAGACACTGGGGCCCACTTGAGGGTGGAGTTTGGGAGGAGGAAGAGGATCGGGAACAATAACTAATGAGTACTACGGTTAATACCTGGGTGAAAAATAATCAGTACAACAAACCACCATGACACAAGTTCACGTATATTACAAACCTCAACATGTACCCATGAACTTAAATAAATAAATAAGAACAGTTGATTTTGGTAGAAAATTGGTCGGGCACGGTGGCTCACGACTGTAATCCCAACACTTTGGGAGTCCGAGGTGGGTGGATCACCTGAAGTCAGGAGTTCGAGTCCCTCCTGGCCAACATGGTGAAACCCTGTCTCTACTAAAAAATACAAAAATCAAGCAGGCATGGTGGCACGTGCCTGTAAACCCAGCTACTCGGGAGGCTGAGGCAGGAGAATCGCTTAAACCTGGGAGGCGGAGGTTGCAGTGAGCCTGGGCAACAGAGCGAGACTCTGTCTCAAAACAAACAAGCAAGCAAACAAACAAACAAAAGAAAGAAAATTAACTATTTCTACTATGGTTTATTTTCTGTCCCCAAGTACCTGAGTGTGCTTTTTTCTTCCTCTGAAACACACTTCTATATGTCCAAATGTGCGTAACTCAGGGCTTCAGGCTATTGGAGTGACTGATGGGCCATCTTTCCTACTTGGCTTTAGCATGCTCTGCTCCCTGAAGTTCAGCGAGTTAGAACACCAAGAGGCAAATTATCTTTCCTCCTCTGGGACGCTGGGTAAAATCTATGTACTGGTCTGGCCATGAGATTTGATTCCCTGAGTTCTGGAGGGCAGAGGGGGCAGAAGCCGTTCATTCCCTGCCAGTCCTCCACTCGAATCTACAGAGAAACCTGAAACTAGAAGCTTCCAGCTGTTTCTGGACCTCTGAGTAATGGGTGCAATTCAGACTCTCTAAACCTCAGTGTATCCATAAACCTGTAAGTCAGGGAGGTGGTCGCTTCGGCTTTCATTTCTTCAGACTTCACTATTTCTATGTAAGCACCCAAATCACTTATGAATTTTTTTTCTGCTTTAAATGCCTGGAAGAGTTCTCCTTTCTTGATTGAATCCTGACGGACAGAGCCAGGCACTTCTTTCACATAAACCCAACGAGCTGGGCATCATCCCTCTCTTTTAGTGTTAGTCGTGCCTGTTGCCACCACATCTAACTGCCTTATCTTGGTTTACTGTAAGCTCTTGAGGGCAGGCATCTCGTGTCTTTATTACTAAACTTCCTGTACCCAAGGTCTGACAAACAGGTGCTCAGTGAGGACAACTCCACTGCAATTGTGTGGCTTATACTGGGCACACAAAATTAGAATCCAGGTCTATCTGATGCTATAATTTTTTCATATACCTAACAACACAATTTCCCATTAAAAATAATCTTCAGGTTTTGTTTGAGGATAGGTTAAAACAAAAATGATGATCATTCTCTCAAGCACAACACATTCGTCAGATGGTACCGATGACTAATAAGTCTGATGATGTCTTAGCATATGGGCCAAATGCTGAAAAACCAATAGAGCTTATGTTTGGGTTACTTCTTTAAATGTATGTCTGTCTACTATGGTACAATTACTTTCATATTGTAATGTATTTTTCAGGTAATAGTGCATTTCATAAATAAGCAGCTTCAGAAGCCCTTTTCTGGCCTTTCAGGGTGTAACCCTGCCCTCCAAAAGAAGAAGGGGAAGTGTACCCTTCCCATCCCTTCATGAGGAGAAAGGGGTGAGAGCTCGACCTTGATGGTTTTCCATTTGGAGTAAAGCTGCAGAGAAGCCTTTCTCAGCCGATGACATCCTGACCTCCTAGTGGCCTCCAAATGGCATTTCACACACATACACTTGGGGGAGAGAAGTCCCTTTAATACCGGAGCTCAGTTTAAAAGTGAAAGCTGCCACCTCACTTAAGAGTTCACCTTCCTATCCTGCTGAAATTTTCTGGACCCCATACTTCTTTATCTTTACATGTTTTTAACTTATTTTACAGTTAATATAGGAAATATCTTGTCAGTAGATTTGAGTCGGGTAATTTAACTCAATGACACTTAATCCATGTTTTAGAGGAATTAGAGCGAGAAAAGAGAGGAGCAAAAGCATACCTCCCAGCACACATTAAAAATTAATTTTATCTTTGTAGATGAAGAAGGGAAATCACCAATAAAATGGACTAGGCTGGACGCCAAGACAAATCTTTGCTGCTGACACCACTTCCCATGAATTAAAATATTATCTTAGGTTATTTATCCAGGTTTTCTTTAGGAAATTAAACCACAGCAAGACTGTAGAAGCCTAAACAGCAAGAAAAAAAAATCCATAAGTATTACAAATATCGAATATTTACTATATATTTATATTACTGTATTGTTGATTCTTTCATTTTTTAAATTATAATTTTATTTGAATTATCCTATTGTCCTACATTAAATCATCTACATGAGAAATTCCACTACAAAAGTTACTCACAGTAAAGAATTCAAATCATTAATATGCTTAGAAGCTACAAAAATCTTAACATCTAAAATGAACAGAATCTCTTAGAAAGTTAAAGTATTTATTTTCTGTCCTTTTATAGAATAATTCTATCATTATGCATGCTATTTGTGGAGCATGTTATTTGTGGGGCATTTGTGGAGCATATCTATTTTGCTCGTCACCTGTCCTGGAAACTCATTTGACTTCATATTTCTTATGAGAGCATTCTGAATTATCTTGGCCATCATTCAGATTTCTTAAAAATTGTCTACATCCCACTTGTCCTATGATGTTTCAATTCCTGACTGTGCTCACGCATCTATGTGCCATGTTCACCCTTCCTTTCTGCCCTTGTCAGACCATTCCTTCTGGCAGTATGTGCCTTCTTTTCCCTTTTGTAGATTGGGCATTCCAAATGGGTCACCTGAAGTCCCAGGGAGGCCCTGATAATAATTTAGTGGACTTGCATATGTGTTTGACTTTGTTTCATTGAATTTGAGGTCCTTCCACATTGAGAAAGCACTCTTTGGTACAAGACAGAATCTGGACTCTTCTAGACTTTCCATTTCCATAAATCAGGCCATTAGACACATTGGATGCTTGGTCCTTTTGAAAGAATTTGCTTTTGAAATGCCTGATCTGTGGCCTTATGAGGCTTCCTTCAACAAGACTTCCATGACCCCTTGGGCCCCTTGGCTCCTGATCATCCCTTTCTTTTCTATACCCCCACTTATGTTGTTTTAACATGTGTTCTATTGTTCCATTCTTCTAAGTCATTTCTGCAGTGACTCAGAATGTCCTTTCAGTTCAAGACCTACATCTTACTTCCTTGTTGTCATCACAAATCTGTACCTTTAACTGTGAGGGATGTTAATATTCTAACAGTGAGTCTGAAACAGAACTGAGAAAATCAGGACAATTTGGAATTGCAGCAGGGCACCTGCCCAAAAGTAACTCAGGCTTTTGTCCCAGGGTGTGGTCTGGACTGAGCATTATTGTCCAAAAACTTGGGGATTTAAAGACGTGATGTTCTTGTGTGGGAGGCTTACCAGTGGGAGTCACTGTCTGGGTCGTCCAGGGTTGATCTGAGTCAAGTGGGGGCAAAGCTGGGGTTACAGCACGCCATTCGGTTTGGAACAAGATCACCAGTAGAAAATGGGGAAATGAATAAAATTTCCCCCATATCTTGAGCAGAGAGGTCTTGTAGGAGCTATCCAGGCTAAGGCCTCGGCTCAGCTTTTATCCCAGTGGAGAGTCAAGGAAGATAGCGACGTGGACAGAAAGCTCTCACTACCTGGGTTTAGGACATACAGCTGGTAGGCACTTGGCCCCCAAGGCATATTCAGGAAACACCTGCTGGTATTATCTTGGCACCAAAACCAATTGGAGATACTAGTGCCCACAACAAGTGCCCAGTGCCTTGTGCATCTGCCAGCTTGCATAGTCTAGGCTGATGGGGCAGGCTAAGGGTAGATTGTAGGTTGAATGGGTTGTATGCTATGACTTCTAAGAGGCTAGGAATAATAATAAGTGATAAGTTCATAGTTCATGAAATTCTGATTAGCATCTTATAGGAGCTAGAAAAGCATTTACTGATTGCTTTCATTTTCTCCTTTTTAATTAAATTGTGTTTCCCTAGCATTTGCTGAATGTGTTTTTGTTGCAGGCATTCCAGGTGATCAGGGTTCAAAGATACAACAGGCAAAAGCTCTGAAAAACAAAACAAAGAACATTTTAAAATTGAAAACTTAAGAGTGGGAGTTGGAGACATAAAAAGAGAATATATCATGGCACAGTGCATGGAGCAAATGAAGAAATCACTTTATAGAAGAAAGAAGGGTTTAACTCGGGGGGGTGTGTGTGTCAGGGTAGTGGACAACTGTCAGAATGAGTCCTGGAGGAGACATCATATGAGCTGAGCAGAAGAGTGGCAGTGTCTGCACTGGATTTTGAAGTCAAAACAATGGTTGGATAGGCAAATGTTGCAGGGTGGAGAAAGGACATGAATCTAATGAAGGAGACCATCAAGCACGAAGGCTCAGGAACCCGGGAGCAAGAATGGAACTGAATGCAGCCTAATGTTGCTGTGAATTCAGGAGCAGGCTGGCAGGTACAGGAGGTAAACAGACACAGATGGGAGCCACTGAAGGGCAGGGCCCTGCTCAGACCTTTGTCCTAGGAAAAGAGTGCTAATGGCAGTGGGAAGTTCCCTTGAGCCTACAGGAGGTAGTTACAATATTGTGATTTAAATAGGAAGCCAACCGCAGATTTTCAAGATGAAAGCATCGTGAGCATGTGCCACTGAGACAGGTGTGCTTATAGCTTTCGAGGTTGAGAGCCTGTGATGAGGAAGACAGTGTGACCACCGTGGACAGTATCACAGGACGGTCTCCTCAGGACAGAACCCGAGCTGCCTCCTCGCACGTAGAAAGGGGGTGTCATGAGGCCAGGGTTGGCCGCATTCTGAGTTCTGGTAGAACCTACTCTGCACAGCCACAGCAGGCGCCTTGGCTCTCCCACCAATAATCATAAATGCATGGATCTAGCAAACTGACACGCACCAACTACAACACATCCTTGAGCCCCATGCCCACGCTTTTAAAAGCAACTTGATGGAAATACCTTGCACATTCTAGAACTTGGTACTCATTACAAAATTATGCCATGCCCTTGATCTTCAACTTCTCTGTGAGGTAGCCTGGGAGGGTTTTTCTTCCCATTTGGAAACGAGGCAGCTAAACTCCAGAGACCTCCAGACAATAGACCACGTCCAGCCCTCTGGTGATAGAGGAGGATTTATTCCAACCCCCTGGCACTCCTTGCAGCTTCGTTGAACTACATTTTCACTGCCTTGGTGAGTGACCTGACCAGAGGGTTGTTCTATCTCCGTCCAGCCCCACAGCCCCCAGCTTCACCCCTTCACCCCAGTGATTCTACATTGACCACCCGGGGTGTCGAGAGGAAGAGGACCTGAGAAGAAGGCCACTTTGTGATGGAAGGTGTCCAATATCCCACTCTGTATTCCAGGAGAGGTTGGGTAAAGCGGGGGAGGATGGAGCCACCTGTCGCTTCCAGCACATGCTCTCTCTGTCCTCTTTGCAGCAGGTATGAGCTGCCTTGTTGCTGACAGTGTGTAATTGGATGGAGGACGCATCATTTCTCCTCTTTCAAAAGATAGATCACTGTTCCCTTCCAGCTAAAATGGCTTCTGCTCCTCACTTAAAGAACAAAATTCACCAAACATGCTTCAAGACATCAAAGCTCTTCATGCTTCTCTGAGGACATGCAATAATCAGGGCAGAGGTGACCTAACTCACGGCTGCTCTCTGTGGCTACTAGAACCCCTGGAGGGCGGAACAGCCCTTCTGGGGAAGGAGCATTCAAAGGTTCCACGTAACCCTCCCCCTTTTTAATTGGGCAAATTACTGCAATTGTTTGGAAGCAATTAAGAGAAAAAGTGTCTCTTCAGCATATTCTAATATATAACTAGATGACAATGTCGCAGGTGAAAGGAGAGTGAAGGCTTGGTGCATCGTGATTGTCTGGAGGGACAAAGCGCACTTCAAGATTCAGTAGTGCCCCCTCACCCACAGTTTCACTTTCCAGGGTCTCAGTTACTCCTGCCCAAACACAGTCTGAAAATATTAAATGGAAAATTCCAGAAGTTAAGAATTAATACGTGTTAAATTGCATGTTTTTCTGAGCATCGTGATGGAATCGTGACCCATCCCACTGTGTCCCACCTGGGATGTGGCTCCTCCCTTTGTCCAGTGGATCCACACTGTTTACACTGACTGTCATTTAGTAGCTGCCTGAGTATCAACTGTCACGGCACAGCACTTGTATTCAAGTCACCTTCATTTGACTTAATTTTGTGCCCCAAAGCACAAAAATGGCTATGCTTGTCATTGGGTATGTCAAAGAGAAGACTTGAAGTGCTTGCTTTAAGTGAAGAGGTGAAAGTTCTCAACTTAATTAGGAAAGAAAATATTGCTATGCTTTATGTTCAAAAAGAATCATCTATCTGTGAAAATGTGAAGAAAGAAGAAATTTATGCTGGGTTTTACTGTTGCACTTCAAACTGCGAAAGTTGTGGTCCCAGTGTGTGAAAAGTGCTTAGTTAAGGTGGGAGAGACATTACATTTGTAAGTGGCAGACATGAACAGAAATGCATTCTTAATGGCAGCAGTGGGGTTTGGTATTGTCTGCAATTTCAGGAATCCTCTGGGGGTCTGGAAATGTATCTCCCTCAGATAAAGGGGGAGTGCAACACTCATTGCAATATGTACCCCACTTAATTATGTGACATACTGGCCAGGTGCAGTGGCTCATGCCTGTAATCGCATCACTTTGGGAGGCTGCAGTGGGCAGATCACCTGAGGTCAGGAGTTCGAGACCAGCCTGGCCAACATGGTGAAACCCTGTCTCTACTAAAAATACAAAAATTAGCTGGGTGTGGTGTCAGGCACCTGTAATCCCAGCTACCTGGGAGGCTGGAGGCGGAAGAATTGCTTCAACCTGGGAGGCAGAGGTTGCAGTGAGCCGAGATCATGCCATTGCACTCCAGCCTGAGTGACAAGAGTGAAACTCCATCTCAAAATAAATGAATAAATAAATAAATAAAAATAAAAATTCTGGGACATACTGCACACTGCTCAGCCTTTTCTGGAAAGACTTACATCACTCTCAAATATTTAAGTACTCATAAAATAAAATGAGGGAAGACTAAAATCTCGTGTGTATTTCTTGATGTTTTTCAAGCTCTTGGTCTAGTGTTCTTAGATTTTGAGCTGAATGCCTAGAAGCTTTTCATTTCTTATATCTGCATCTATGCAAGAACAAAATATTCAGGCACATGGCAACACTTTCAGCTTACTAACATGGAATGGTTTATTGCACATTGCTAGTGTGCTTAAACAGCCATCTATTTTTGCCAAGATATATAACTCTGAATGTGGCATTTAATTTATTATTTTTTTCTTTAACTGCTAAAATGCCAAGAAAAAAATGAAAGAAAGGAAGAGAGGAAGGGAGGAAGGAAGACAAGGAGGGAGAGAGAGGTAAGGAAGGAGAGAAAGTGAAAAAGAAACTTTTGACCAGTGCTGCTGGTCAAGAAATACAATATAAAAATGGAATTTGAAATGGAAAGCCATAAATTATAAATGCTTACTGTATGCTTTTAAAGCTTTGCCCCAGATTTACCATGAAGATACGTGGTGAAGATTTTTAAGAAATAAATTCTATGTGGAGGGCAGGAAGAGCACAGGCTGTGATGGGATCCTTTGGCCCCTGCCCAGCCCTGTGTCCTGGAGCTGCCCTTCATCCCTCCTGCCTTCAGGAACTCAGCACCCCCCATTCTGGAGAAGGGGTTACAGTCCAGTGGGAGCATCTTGAGCTCCTCACACCAGGGGCCAATGCCTGGCACGAGGCTCAGAGGCTGCCCCTCACCTCATGGGTGAGGCCGGCCCTGGGGCCAGCTGTCCTGCAGAGTACCCCCCATTATGCCAAAGTTAGACACCCCCTGTGCCCACATTTTCTGATGTTCTGCTTGGCCGCAGCACCTGCCCCGTCCTGTTTGTCTTGCTGACTTTTTCCTGAGAGCTCTTCCCTCACTAGACATAGGAACAGAATGACCATTTTCAGATAAGGCCCTGCTGCTTACAAAATTATTAGAAGATATGACCCATCACACACATGCTTTAAAATGCATATGGATTAATCAGTCTCATCTCTTAGTGAATCTGCAAAGACCAAGGTGATTCCAACCCATTCCCCTTCTCTTTTCGTTTTCTACCTGCCTCCCCATTTAGAACCATGAATGTAGGGGCTTTGTGCCTCACCCTCTGGGTTGTCATTTTCATTCCTGGACATCTGCTATAAACTCCTCTTGTTCATTGCAGGATTATAGTAAAATTTGGATCCTGTGAGTACAATTATTCTTTTTCCCAAGTTTTGCTGAATACACAGTACACAAATGAATACTTCAGCTGAATAATTTCCTGCATTCTTCATTATATCACAACAAAAGATAAAATATATTGGAATAAAATTTTACAAAAATCACGTATTCAATCATTATTGGACTTTGCAATGGGCATTCAACACTAACAGCAATAGCAAATACGGAAGTTTGGGTGTGGAGTTGACCTTGTGACTTCTCTCCAGGGCAGCTTTAAGCCCTTCTGACAGTTGGATAATTGGCCCTTTTATTTTTAATGTCATTATCCTTTATCAAACAATCAGACAAAAGAAATTATTCTTTAATCCAGTTTGTGTTAAACACAGTTTGCTGTACATCCTTCTCCTTCAAACCCTCTCTACCGCATTCAGAATTGTGGGTGTTTGTGTATGTGTGTGTGTGTGTGTGTGTGTGTGACAGAGTCCTGCTGTGTCGCCCAGGCTGGAGTGCAGTGACGCCATCTCAGCTTACTGTTAGCTCAGCCTCCTGGGTTCAAGCAATTTTCCTGCCTCAGCCTCCGGAGCAGCTGGGATTACAGGCAGAATGTGTTTTAATTACCCAGATTGAAGCATGAACCGTGACACTTGGATCAAATCTGGGGCCAGATTCTTTCCATTCTTCCATTGCAAGATTTACTTCTTCTTTCATTCTTTTCTTCTGTGCTTTACTTTATGAATCCTACTGTCTTCAGTGTTGACTGTCTTAGTTCATCCTGCCAGAAGCAAGCTTTGTCTTTTTGAAGAAGTTTTATTAGAATGTCTACATACCTACCTACAGCCTTTTAGAAAATGAAGGGCGTGTGAAGCCTCCAGTGATGTTGCCTGTTTCTGCGCAGCCTTTTCCATCGCAAGGGCATACGTATACTCTGCTATTATACCAAACCAGACTGATGGACTGCCTTTCCTCGAACTTTTCTTGCTCTTATTTTGGCTCTCTCTCTTACATGTAATACATAATCCTTTCCCTCCTCGTATTTTAACATCAGCTCACTTGGGTGAGCTTAAACATCACCTTGTCCTAATGTCTGCAGCCACAAAGGATGTTGTGACCATCTCTTTGGCCAGGCTGGTCTCGAACTCCTGACCTTGTGATTCACCCACCTTGGCCTCCCAAAGTGCTGGGATTACAGGCGTGAGCCACCGCGCCTGACCAATTATCTCTCTCATAATCTTAACCCAAACTACAAGCATGTACTCACACACTGAGTCCCACTGACTCTTCAGTATTGTATTTACTTAGGCATGTGTCTCTCCTTATTTAAGTATTAACTTTCTGGGGACATATTTTTACTTCATCTGATCCCTCAATTATAGCATAATTCCCACACACTAAAAGTACAATTAATGTTTTCATATTTATGGATCCTAAACCTAAAACTGCTTTGTGAGAGATTTTAGTAGGATATTTGCATTAGTTAGGTTTTTGTGCCTAACACCCTATCCCAAAACTTAGTGGCTGCATAACTTAAAAATAAACAATCAAAGAGACGTTAAGTGCTTGGTCTGGGACCACAATAATGAGTCCCCGCATCAAGCTCCTGATGCTTATATTTCTTTGCCAAACTTTTTTCTAAAAATTAGTTGTTTAGACATCTTATTATTATTCCCACTCTCCTTTTACAAATAAAAATAATTAAGAGTTATCCTTTATGTAATATAAGTCCCCAAATAGGTAGGGGCAGTCTCCATGCCCAGAAACAGGCTTTATTTTTTTTTAATCCTTTCTCTTCATCTCTTAGCTAGAAGCTTTTGCCTTCTTCTTGGTGTATTAGATTCTTTTGTTAAATAAGACTCTTGAGAGATAATTATTACAGCCTCCAACCAGACTTCTGGGTTTACTATTTTCTACATATAAGACGGGGAAAATTAAAACTTTTGCTTCTGATTCATTGCCTGTAAAATAAAGATAGTTATAATACTTGCCTTATAGGGTTATTTTAAATATAAATGAGTTATTACATGTAAAGTGTTTCAAGTAGTGCCTGGCACATAGAGAGCCTTCAATAAGGGTCAGCTATTACTGTTATTACTACTACTATAATAGTAGTAATAGTATTACAACTGCAACTGCTATTACTACTACTACTACATTTGCTACTTACAACTGTATTTATTACCTTCTAAATACAGAAACATAATAGCACATAAAATGTGAACATTCACATTTTAAATTATCTTATATTTTTCATCATATTAATATTTTAAAATGTAGATAATTGATTACTAAGGATGAAACATTTTTCTCTCATATCCTTACCAGATGGTTTTGAAGAAAACAGAGGCCGTAGAGGTGGTTCATTTGATCATAGCTCAGAAAAGATGGGTTTTGTAATTCTACAGCTGAGGTTCAAATCCCAGTTTGATATCTACAGGCCAGGTTAGCTTCTCTCTCTGTAGGAGTCTTGCTTGTAAAACTGGGTTAAGAAGAAATTTAGGTGAAACAGTGGACATGTAAAGTGTCAGGCATAGGGTAGTTATCCAATTAATCACACCTACACAGAGCACGTGCTCTCCCTCTCCTTCTCTCTGCCCTTGAATATGTGCACATATCAAGATGGTAGCTGCCAGGACAAGAGGGGAGGCCTCAACATCAATCTTGCCTGACTTCCACCTTGATCTTGGACTTCCCAGTTTCTTGAACTGTGAGAAATAAATGTTTGTTGTTTAAGCCTCCCAATCTATGGTATTTTATTATAGCATTCCACCAATACACAGAGACAATGCTAAAACAAGGGTCTTTATGGATGTATACACTATTTATTCTATCTTGGAGGATACACACCTGGAAGACCGGTTGAATCAGAAGGTATTTCTATATCAACGATTTTTCCCCTGGAGAAGGTTGACCAGCAGGCACGTTACACGTCATACAGGACTTTCTCTTTCCCCGCATCTTTGTCTCCACTGATTACAGATCCACAATCTCTCACTCAAAATTAAGAAACCCTAAAAATTCTGAGCTCACAGAAATTTTTATGATTCATGTGGTCAGCAAAACCTGAACTGAATTTTTGTGAGATAAGTTATATCTTTGACTTGTCTCACTTACGAATATGAGAAATATTAATGTGTTTGATGAAAGGATGTACCCTAGACACTGCTGAATATGTTATATAATATTGTACGAGTACTCTATTTTCTTTCTAAAATTCAGAAATTCTGAGTTGCAAAAGACAAACAATTTATTACAGACAATTAGACAATTTTAGAAAAAGGACGGTAGTCCCCTCTGATGGTGAAAACAATAGCCCTCAAAAAAAAAACTTCTTTTGTTTTCCTCCTTACTATTACTGAAGATATATTTCGTACGTTTATCTTTCAATTCTGTTTTGTCTTATTTTTTCCTGTGAATTGCATGCTCATATACTTATTTCATTTTCTTCTCCTGCCATTGTATTTTCTTGTTGATTGTTACATATTAATTGTAGTGAAAGAGAGAATATTTTACGGAAGTCCCACTTTTATCACAGATTTGAAAATCTAGATGTCTTTTGGTCAGTTACATCTTTTCTGAGTAAAAATACTATCTTTCATTGCTACACATTTAAACATATGTGATCTCAGGAAATATCATAAATCTGGAATACACAATGATCTCCTATTATGATCATTTGACTCTGTGTACCTGTTCTCTTTCCAGATGAAATAACTTTAGAATAATCTGGTCTTGACCTATAAATAAGTATTTTGAGAACTTGTTTGGAATTGAAATAAATCATTAGATTGATTTGGGAGTATTAATATTGCAAAATTGAAGCTTTCTATCCAGAGTATTGTGTGTCTCTCTTTTTAAAAAAAAAATATGGTATTAGGTTGGTGCAAAAGTAATTCTGATTTTTGCCATAACTTTTAAATGGCAAAAACCACAATTCCAATCTTAACATGTCCCTCAAAATTTTATTTTGTTTTATTTCTATACCTCTGGTGCATTTTAATATTTATTATTATAGTTTTTAGTTTAGTTGCTATAATTGAAATATTTTTATTGTGTCTCCTTCATGTTTATTGTTGTCATGTAGAAAGCTATTGATGGTTGCATGTTGCCTTAACAAGACAGTATATCAAATATCAAATTTTCTTATTAGTTTTAATAGGAAATCTTACTAAGGAATCAAAAGAAAACTCCAATTTTTTCCCAACAGACAGTAGAATATCATCAGAATGTTATGATATGTTTTTTATTTATAATATTTATATTTGTTTTATTACATTACCTGTTCTTGCAGAATTCTCAATATATTTATGTTAATCATGAACAGAAATAGCAATCACTGTTGCCTTATCTTTGACTTTGATAACATTTATTTACATATTCTCCTTTTTAGTGTAATATTCTCTATAGGGTTTTTTGTTTGTTTGTTTGTTTTTCAGGTGGAGTCTCGCCCTGTCACCCAGACTGGAGTGCAATGGTGCGATCTCGGCTCACTGCAACCTCTGCCTCCCGGGTTCAAACAATTCTCCTGCCTCAGCCTCCTGAGTAGCTGGGATTACAGGCACCTGCCACCATGCCCAGCTAACTTTTGTGTTTTCAGTAGAGACAGGGTTGCACCATGTTGGCCAGGCTGGTCTCAAACTCCTGACCTCGTGATCTGCCTGCCTCGCCTCCCAAAGTGCTGGGATTACAGGCGTGAACCACCATGCCTGGCCAGGGGGTTTTTTGTTTGTTTGTTTTGTTTTGTTGAGATGGAGTCTCGCTCTGTCACCCAGGCTGTAGTGCAGTGGCGTGATCTTGGCTCATTGCAACCTCCCTTTCCTGAGTGCGAGCAATTCTCCTGCCTCAGCCTCTCGAATAGCTAGGACTACAGGTGCCTGCCACCATGACTGGCTATTTTTTGTATTTTTATTAGAGACAGGGTTTCACCATGTTGTCCAGTCTGGTTTCAAACTCCTGGCCTCAACTGATCTGCCTGCCTAGGCTTCCAAAAGTGCTGGGATTACAGGTGTGAGCCACCGCACCTATAGGTTTTAAGAAGACATTCTCTAACAAACAATTTTTAAAAGTTTGTTTTTTCTGGAATTTGTATTTGTAGCATTCTGAGAGACTGTACTGAATTTTACCAAATGGTCTTTTATTCTGTTTTTTTTTTTTTTTTTCAAATGCATGTTTGTTTTTCTTTTTTTGCTGTTTTAATATAGAAATTTACATTAAACATACTTTCCTGGGGTAAACTCCAACTTGTCGTGATGTATTATATATTGTATGTATTGCTAGGCATGATTGGCTAATACCTAGCAATGGATTTCTGTCTCTTATGTTCATAAGAAATATTATTCTGTATATAATTTTCTGTTCTGATGTCTTTTCGCAGATTTTTGTATTAAGGTTATTCTATCTCAAAAAAATGAGATGGAAAATGATCCTTCTTTATTTTTTGAAAGAATATTGTATAGACTGTTATTATACCCTCATTAAAAGTTGTTAGGCTGATGCAAAGGTAATGACGGTTTTTGCCATTACTTTCAATGGCAAGAACTGCAGTTACTTTTGTACCAACCTAATAGAAATTACTGGTGAAGCCCACTATGCTAAAGTGGTTTTTGTGGGAAGAGTTTCAATTGCTCATTGCATCATTTTAATAGATGTGGATATTTCTAAATTTTCTATGTCTTCTTGGGTCATTTTTTTGGTAAGTCATGCTTTACAAATACTTTGTCCATTTAATGAGATAAAGTAGCATATATTTAGCCCCCTCATCGCCATTATAATGTAAGTAGGACCTAGGGCAACGGTTCTGTAGAAGGATGCTATTTTGCTCAGGGGGACATTTGACAACATCTGGAGACATTTTTGATTGTCACAACTGGGGGTGCTATTGCTATATCTACTGGGCAGAGGCCAAGGATGCTAATAACCATCCCACCAAGCACTGGACAGCACGTGCCCCCCACCCCCACAAAGAATCACCCACCCAGAATGGCAATGAATCAAGGTGAGGAACTCTGCTGGAGCAATGACCCTTGTTCATTTTTCACATTGGCAATGGATATTTTCTCTTTTTCTCCTCATTTAGCCTTACTAGAGATTTATCCATTTTTTAACATTTTCAAAGAACAAATAATTGGTTTGCTGATTTTCCTCTTGCCTTCCATTGCATTGATTTGTATGCTACAGTTAGGTTATTACCCTAATTCTATTTAATTTAGGTTTAATCTGTTCTCTTTTTTAGCTTATGGAAATATAAATTTATTTTTTTTTATCAACAGAAACATCTATATATACCATGTGTGATATGTTGTTTTAAATATGTATACATCATAGAATGGTTAAATTGAGCTAATTAACATATGCATTACTTCATGTACTTATCACTTTTGTGGTGAGAACACTCAAAATCTACTCTCTTAGCAAATTTACAAAAACACAATACATCATTATTAACTATCGTCACCATCTTGTACAATAGGTCTCTTGAACTTATTCCTTGTAACTGAAATTTTGTATTTTTTGACCAACATCTCCCCAGTGCCCTTTCCCGCAGCCCCTGGCAACTGCTGCCATTCTACCCTCTGCTTCTATGATTTCAACTTGTTTAGAGCCCACATATGAGTGAGATCAGGTGGTATTTGTCTTTCTCTGCCTGATTTCACTTAGCATAAAGTCCTCTAGGTTCATCCATATTGTTGCAAATGACAGGACTTCTTTCTTGTTTAAGGTTGAATAGGATTCCATTGTGTCTCTATAACAGATTTTCTTTATTTGTTCATCTATTGGAAAACACTTAGGTTGATTTCATGTCTTAACTCTTGTGAGGAGTGCTGCAATGAACATGGAAATGCAGCTCTCTCATTGACATAGTGATTTCATTTCCTTTGGATATACACCTAGTAGTGAGATTGCTGAATTGCAATGTATGTTTAAACCATTGACTATTGAACTTGTATTTCTTCTAAAATGAACATTTAATAATATATAGTTTGTGCTTAGAGCTTCTCTGAATTGCCCAGATTTTTATATATTCTAATCTTATAACTCAGTTGAAAATGGTTTTTAAAGTTAAAATTTCCACTTTCACTCTCTTTTTAAAAAAAAAAACTTGGATAAATATATTATTTAGTATAATTTTCAATTTTATGTTAC
Organism: Homo sapiens; assembly: GCF_000001405.40. NCBI lineage: Eukaryota > Metazoa > Chordata > Mammalia > Primates > Hominidae > Homo > Homo sapiens. Next base: position 4,433,920 of record NC_000002.12, read on the forward strand.
ATAATTTTCAAATATTTGGAGGTTCACATTCATTATTAAAAATTTTAATGTCTTTATGTCTTGATAACATTTTGTATAATTTTCCTTTTGGACATTTACTGAGACTACTGTACGGCCCAAACACATTCTCAAAGTATACCTTTGAGAATGTTCATGTGCACTTGGAAAGAATGTGTATTCTGAAATTTAGTGAAATATCCTGTGAGTATCAATTAGAACAATTTGGTTGGCAAAATTTTTAATTTTTTAAATATTTTTATTTTTTGTGTACTTCTTTTTTTCAATTACAGAGAAATTAAAATCTCCAAATGTCAATGTATGTTTTCTATATTTCTCTTTTCAGTTTGATTAAGTTTTGCCTTTTTATTTTGAAGCTCTCTCATGAATGAATGAATACTTATCATTTCTTTCCCTTTCTTTATTATGAAATGTGTCTTTTTTTTATCAGTTAGTGTATTAGTCAGTTTTCACACTATTATAAAGAACTACCTGAGACAGGGTGATTTATAAAGCACAAAGGTTTATTTGACTACAGTTCTGGATGACTAGGAAGGCCTCAGGAAACATACAATTAAAATGGAAGGTAAAGGGGAAGCAAGGATTGTATTCTCATGGTGGCAGGAGAGAGAGAATGCGCTGGCGGGAAATGTGAAACACTTTTAAACCATCAGATCTCATGAGAACTCACTCACTATCACAAGAACAGCATGGGGTAAACCACCCCCATGATCCATTCACTTCCTTTCACTCCTACCAGCTCCCTCCCTTGACACATGGAAATTACAATTTGAGATGAGATTTGGGTGGGGAGAGAGAGTCAAACATTATCATTCCGCCCCAGCCTCTCCCAAATCTCATGTCCTTCTCACATTTCAAAATGCAATCATGCCTTCCCAAGAGTCCCCCAAGGTCTTAACTCATTCCAGCATTAACCCAAAAGTCCAAGTCCAAAATCTCATCTGAGACAAGGGAAGTCCCTTCTTTTTATAAGCCTGTAAAAATAAAAAGTTAGTTACTTCCAAGATACAATGGGGGTACAGGGATTGAATAAATGTTCTCATTCCAAATGGGTGAAATTATCTGAAATAAAGGGGCCATAGGCCCCATGCAAGTCCAAAACCTGGCAGGGCACTCATAAAGTATTAAAGCTCCAAAATAATTTTCTTTGACTCCATGTCTCATGTCCAGGGCATTCTGATACAAGGGGTGGTCTCCTGAGACCGTGGGCAACTCTACCCCCATGGCTTTGCAGGGTACAACACCTGTGGCTGTTTTCATAGGCTGATGCTGAGTGCCTGTGGTTTTTCCAGGCAAATGGTGCAAGCTGTCAATGGATCTACCACTCTGGGGTCTGGAGGATGACAGCCTTCTTCTTACAGCTCCACTAGGAAGTGCCCCACTGGAGATTCTGTGCGGGGGCTCCAACTTCACATTTTCCCTCTGCATTGTCCTAGCAGTTTCTCCATGAGGGCTCCACCCCCGCAGCAAACTTCTGCCTGAACATTCAGGCATTTCCGTACATCCTTTGAAATCTAGATGGAGGCTCCCAAAGCTCAACTCTTGTCTTCTGCACACCCCAAGACCTAACACCACACAGAAGCCTCCAAAGCTTGGGGCTTGCACCTTCTGAAGCCATGGCCCAAGATGTACCTTGGCCCCTTTTAGCCATGGCTAGAGCTGGAGTGTTTGGGACACAGGGTGACATGTCCTAAGGCTGCAGAGCTTAGTAGGGCCCTGGGCCCAGCCATGAGAAGAGTTGTTTTCCTCCTAGGACTCTGGGCCTGTGATGGGACGGGCTGCTGTGAAGATCTCTGATATGCCCTGGAGACATTTTTCACATTGTGTTGGCTATTAACATTCAGCTCCTTGTTACTTATGCGAATTTCTGTAGCTGGCTTACATTTCTCCCCAGAAAATGTGTTTTTCTTTTCTATTGTTTGGTCAGGATACAAATTTTCCAAACTTTTTCACTCTGCTTCCCTTTTAAACAAAAGTTCCAATCTCATACCATCTCTTTGTGAACTCATACGACTATATGCTTTCAGAAAAAGCCAAGTCACATCTTAAATGCTGCTTAGAATTTTTTTTTTCTGCCAGATACCCTAACTTATTTCTCTCAAGTTCAACATTCCACAGATCTCTAGGACAGGGCGAAATGCTGCCAGTATCTTTGCTAAAGCATAGCGAGTGACCTTTGCTCCAGGTCCCAATAAATTTTCTCATCTCCATCTGAGATCACCTTAGTCTGGACTTCATTGTCCCTATCACTAACAGAATTTTGGTCACAACCATTCAAGAAGTGTCTAGAAGGTTCCAACTTTTCCTAATCTTCCTGTCTTCTTCTGAGCCTCTAAACTGTTCCAGCCTCTGCCTGTTACCCAGTTCCAAAGTTCTTCCACATTTTCCAGTTATCTTTATAGCAATTCTCCACTATCCAGGTACGAATTTCCTGTATTAGTCCATTTTCCCACTGCTAAAAGAACTACATGAGACTGGGTAATTTATAAAGAAAAAAGACTTAATTAACTCACAGTTCCACATGGCTGAGGAGGCCTCAGGAGACTTACAATCACAGCAGAAGGTAAAGGGGAAGCAAGGCATGTCTTCTCATACTGGTAGGTGATTGAGAGAGCAAGGGAGGAAATGCCAAACACTTTCAAGCTATCAGATCTCTTGAGAACTCCCTCACTATCACAACAACAGCATGGGGGAAACTGCTCCTGTGATCCAATCAGCTCCCATCACCTTCCTCCCTCGACATGTGGGAATTAAAATGCAAGATGCGATTTGGGTGGAGACACAGAGCCAAACCATATCATCTAGTAATGCTCTTCTTATTGAAGTCGAATTTCCACATACTAGAATAGCCATACTAGTTTAATTTCTATGTAATATATCTGTGTAAGTAATTTTTATTTTCAAGCTCACTGAGTTTTTTAATGTATTTTTATAATCACAACATACATCAAAATTTTGGTATGTGTGTGTGGTATGTCTTTGTGCATATGTGTGTGCATGTGTGTATTTAATGTATGCCAACCTTCTCTGCATTTTAATTGGAGCCTATAGTCCATTTACAATAATGTAATTACTAATATATCTGGTTTTGTTTTCTAGCTTAAAATTTGCTTTCTAGTTAGTCATTCTATTTTTCTTGTTTCTATGCTATATTTTGTTAAATTTTGTATTTTTAAAATTCCTTTTTATAATGTCTTTATTTCTTAGCTATAGCTAATTATGCATTATGATAATCATAATTATTATCATTTTGGTGGTTGCTTTAGAGATTATAAAATGTATCTGTATGTTAGCTCTAGTTTACCTTCAAAAAACTATACAATTCATGAACTAGATAAGACCTTTATAAAGGTGTAATTCTCCTTACTCTTCTCTGGGATTTTTTGTTCTTATATTATATTTAAGCTCTACATAAGCTATAAACTATATCATATAATGTTATTTCTCTGTATTATTATTCAATTGTTTTTAAAGAAATAAGTAGATAAATAGAAGTATAAATATTTGAAAGAAGGCCTTCATGTTTATCCAACTATTTACTCTCTTTTGGTCCTCTTAAATTTTACAAAATGGGGCTTCATTTGGTGCCTTTTTTTGTCAGAATGAAGAATACTTTTAGCATTTCTTGTAGTGTAAGACTGCTGGAGATGAATTATTTTAATACTTGTGTGCATGATATTGTCATTAGTTTGTTTTTATTTTGAAGAACTTCTTGATGAGTATGGTGTTCCAGGTTGACAAATGAATATTATGATGATTAATATTATTTTATTCAAAACGTTTAAAGATATTCCATTGTCTGTTGGCCTCCATTGTTTTTAATGTTAAATCATCCATTGTTTTTATCTTCTTTATATTATGTGTGTTTTTTCCCTGTGGCTACTTAAGATTTGATTTTCATTTATGGTTTTAGCAATTTACATATGACATACCTAGATTTGTTTTTGTTTGTTTTATCTTGTATATGGTTTGAGTTTATTTGATCTGTGTTTTGGTATCTTTCATCAATTTTGAAATGTTCTGAGCCATATTCTCTTTAATATTTCTTCTGACACATCTTTTTCTGTTGAGGCTCCAATTACATGTCTAAATGAATATTGTTCTATAGTTCTGATATTGATATTGTCCTACACTGACATTGTCCTATAGTTCTTAGTATTTTTTTACGTTTATTTTTCTACTCTTCTTTCTTTGTCTTTTTGCTTTGACACTTTCTACTCTACAATATTCAAAGTCATTGGGTCATTTCTCTTCTGAGTCTAGTCTGCTCTTACGCCCATTTAAAGATTCTTTTTTTCTGATATTGCATTTTTTATTTCTAAGATTTCTCTTAAAGTTTCTATATCTGTCAAAATTATTTTATCTCTTTCCCCACTATACCTTTTAACAACTTTATCACAGTAATTTTAAACTTCATGCCTGATAATTCCAACAGCTGAATCATCTCTGACTCTGCTTCTGTTAACTATTTGCTCTCTGGGCCATAGTTGCATTTTCTTGCATTTTGTAATTTTTCATACTGGAATATACATGCACATAAACATAAGTAAACAACATTTACCTCCAGAAAAGTATATGTTATTTTTTATGCCAGCTGCTAAATCAGTTTGACCTGTATATGAGCTATGTATGGTCTGTGTTTCTGACTTAGCTTGATTAATTTTATCAGTGGATTTAATTTCATTTTGAGAACATTATTAAGACTACTGTGAAGCTTGACATGTAAGCACTGACAAAATCCTAGACATATTTGGTCTAAGAGATAACCAGTTTTCTAGGCCATGAGATATTTCTTTCTGCTTTAGAACTTCTGAATCACCTTCCTGAATTCTGAGTAGTTTCTTTACTTTCTAGTTTTGCTAGGGATTATCTGGCAATCCAGATAATCCCTTGAAAAGCTATTTCTTCACTTGGAATACCTTGGAGGAATTTGCCTTCATTATCCTGCGCCACTCCTAGCTCTTGACAGCCCTGAGTGCCTTGGATCAACTTTTCTCATCTTTTCTTTCTTGCTTCCCACTCCCATAGGACACCTGGCTTGTACTTCAGGAGGGAATCCCACAGGCTCCAGATTAAATTTTCTTCAAATGTCTTCCCTTTCTCCAGCCATGGTCACAATGCCACTGACCACTGAGTGAAGACCTGTGAGTGTGAGTGGGGATGCATTATTTTTTTTGTCTGGCTAGAGCTCCTCAAATTCTAATCTGTTATGCTATTTGACATGTGGTCATTAAAAATTAGATTTTTTTTTTATTTTTTATTTATTTTTTTTACCTTTCTCTTTACCTCTGTCAATTTCTCTTTCTCTTGGGCCTTGAGTAATTGCTCCATTGGATCTTTTCCCAGCTATGAAAGGTATGTGACTTTTGAAGTGTTAGTCCACTTAAGTGTATTTGCTTCCCTCGATCTTTATTTTATAAAAATAAAAAGTTATATTTTATTCATTTTTCTTGTTGTTCCTGGAAATTGTTGATCTCTTGTGCTGTTGTTCTATATACAGGTGTTTTTGTATTTTGTAGCTTACATATTTCTCTCACTGCTTTCAAGATGCTCTCTTTGTCTTTGGCTCTAGAATACGTGTGCAGCTGACTTCTGTGAGGCTGGGGCATGAGTGTGGGTAGCGACTGCCAGGTTACGAGTACAAATTGATTAAAAGCAATCACAGTTTATTGTCAAAACCCTCCCCAGGATATTGAATGTCTTAAGTAAACTCTAGAGTTCCAAAACAGTTACATCAGACAGATTCTATCATCGATATTATTGTCTAGGTAGGGAGATGTTTTTATGGTGCTTCCTATTTTATCTTCTTATAATTTTCTCTTGATGTATACTTTTTATAGAATATTTCTCCTCGAATTTTGATGGACATAAATGTTAATAATAAAAATAATATTCCAGTTCTTGATTCCACAGATTCCAATAGAATAGTTTGAAGATGGAACAATTGAGAATTCTGAATGCTAAGCTAATTAGATATGTTTTCTTTGAAGGAAAACTACATTGTATTATTTTGCCTCCTCCCTCCTCCTAGAAGCCTTTAAAATTCATGCATCATTTTAAAAGTTTTGAAATTTTTCAAGATTATGTTTAAGTATATTAAATATTTTGTTCAGTCATCCCAATTAGTTTTCAATGGCCCTTTCCATTTAAAGAGTTTGGACATTCCATATAAAAAAGACAATGTCATCTACATTTTCTTTGTTTTCTTAATTATATCTTTTCCTTTTTACAAATTTCTTAAAAATAGGTGTAAGATCTCTGATTTAACCTATGTGCGTCTTAATTTTTCAGCTTCTCTGTCATTTTATTAGATGTTTTTATTGTTTTTAATTACTAAATTAATCTTAATCTATGCTTATTATATCATTCTCCATTACGTTATGGATACAACAACTTGGTGAATGTTTCTGAGATTAACACTAAAAATATTTAACAATCTCTCTCATTTTTATCTTTTCTTTCTTTTTCTCTTTGTCTTTCTCACTCTCTATTTATCCTGTTACATCTTTGCTTCTATCTCTTTCTCTGTTTTTTTTTTTTAATATTTAAATAATGCTTCTGTCTGAGGAGGTTAAGAAGTGAAAGAAGACATTGTGAGATGGAGAATCTTTATTAAGATAGAAGACAAAGAGGGGATGATGTGGACACTTTCAGGATGTGGAATGGTTACATACATTATTCTGTTATCACAAGGTTAGCTAAACTCTCTTTCATAAAATCTCTCTTGTTTCTTACTCCCTAAATCTCAAATAAGTGACTAAAAAATGCCTGGATGACCCCAAACAGTAAGAATAGCTTGTAGGTCTCTGAAGATGTTATCTTTTGCCCTGGGAAGGTGGATTCCTATACTAACACCTGCACTTGAAAAGGTGAACAAGATAATTTTGTATTTATTTTCTCACTACCACTGCAGGTAGCATGGGACACTTCTTTATTATTCACAAGAAGAGTTGCTTAATTTTTTCGTTTCCTGATGCTTTCAGCATGGCCCCTTTGGCAGAGGACATTTAATTCTTCTGGGCTTCAGGGAACAAAAGTTGTGCTTACTTTGCCATTGGAGTTTTCTTGTCTTCCTTGTATGATATGCTTATTTGGATGGGTCAGAAAGAATTGGTATGTGCTGCCTCCCCCTTAATTCCTTCACCTGAACTCAAGGCTTTTGTAGACTACAACCTGAAGTAATCGATGGCTTCTCTGTTATCAACTTTGTAATCACCTAAGATGTGGGAATTTTCACAAAATGACAAAAAGCATCCGTATGTTCTGATGCTAGAAGCTTTCTCATTTTCTCATCTTTTTCTTTGTTTAACATAGATTTCAGGAAAGGTTACTTTTATGTGTCAACTTGACTAGGCTATGCAATGCCCAGATATTTGGTAAGCAGAAACCACATCACTAATCTTTGCTACAGATGCATGTTACACTTAAGTGGCCTAGAAACAATGACTTTGCAAGTACCATATGTTGACATCGGTTGGATGGCAGCTAAGATAGATTAGTGATAGTCTTCACAAGGGTTTCTTTTTTTTTCTTTTTTAAAAATTATATGCTTTATTTTTAGATAGTGGTAGATTCACAGGTAGTTATAAGAAATAATTTCAGATTGATCTGGTGTACCCTTTACCTAGTTTACCCCAATAGTAACATTTTGCCAAATTATAATACCATATCGCAGCCAGATACAGAAATCCCTCATGTCTCCCTTTTACGTCCACAGCCACTACCTTCCCTACCCCACTCGCTTTCACTCTTTTTAGTTGTGGCCTGGCAAGGGTGTTCACCTAGGCCCACATTGGTCTTCGCTGGCATGGGTGGAGATGAAGCTTTCTTTTCCTTGCTGAATTTTGGCTGGAATAGAGTAGTTATTGTCTAAAAGTTTTCTCTCTTATTCCAATACTTTGATTAGAGGCAGCAGTGTTTTTTGGAGCTGTGCTTATCAACTTTTATGAGTTGCCAGCCTCTGCAGTTCCATATCTGTGGAATATGGGGCAGAAAGAAAACCCAGAGGACTCAGAACCATACCACCCCTGGGTTCCCAGGTGCCCAGCTTTATCTGTCTTTATCTCTCCACTTTGCAGCATCTTCTTCTATTTGCTGTATATATAATGTTCATGGTCTTAAGTTGTACGTTGCAGAAAAAAATAGGAAAAGTATGTCTCCTCCATCTTCTTGAAAAGGAAACTTTATTTTTTTTAAGTCATTTTTACATTACATCATGTTTTTGTTGGCAAGTGCTTAGGCTATATCACTTGATAAAATATTTCTTGATGTAGTTAACATTGAAAGATATCTTTTCTGTATCTGTTTCTCCTCTAGTGATATAAAGATTAAATTATGCATCATGCTTGGACAGCTTAAATGTTGAATGTGAAATGCTAAAATATTTCATCAAAAATATTTTAAAATAAATTAGAACATGCTCTACCGTTTAAGGGTTGAATCTCTTTGTATTTTCACCATATTGGTCAGGCTGGTCTCAAACTCCTGACCTCAGGTGATCTACCAGCCTTGGCCTCAGAAAGTTCTGGGATTACTGGTGTGAGCCACCATGCCTGGCCACCTGAATCTCTTACTAAAGATGCACTGAAGTATTATGTTTAAATAAAATAATTCAATTTTAGATCCAAATGTATTAATATCTCAACTTGCTTCACAATTGTCTAAGGAAGCTAAAATTGGGAAAAGAAAAATAAGATAAAATTTTAATAAGGGTCCAAGCATCAAGACCAGAGGAAAAAATGGAGAAGAATAGGAAGTGAGCAAAGGGGAAGCAATGCTAATTCAATGGTCTAGAATGCCCTGCCCTACATGCCTGCAGGTGTTCAGATTTGCTTTTGTGCCCCAGTTTTTTCATAGGAAAAGAAGGCAATGTATATCACTTTTGTCATCACAAAAGTGTAGCAGGATGTCTTAGTGAAAGCAAAACTTTCCCTAGACAGGTTGTATTACATATACATTATCTTTTGAACTGTGTTCTTTCCTTTAGGGAGATGTTTTTAAGATTCTCTGATTTTCAAAAAATATTTTTTATCTATCACAAGACCATCATCTACAATTGAAATATATATATATATTTCCCCCTCTAATGATAATCTTGACATTTTTTATTAGTTTAAAAAACTGTGTTTATTTGTTTAGCTTCTCAGTGAGCCTGTTTCAATGGCTTTCTCTAATAGAACATGGTTAAAACAAAAAGTGTATGCATAAATAACTGAAAATTTGTATATTTTTTTCTTGCTGGCATGAAGTGCAACTCATTTAAATTACCTTCTGATTCATTTTCTCTGCATTCAAAGTTTTAGATTCCTTAAGATTCATGGGCACCCTCACTGACAAAACATATCTATAATTTAATTTCACAAACAATTTATTATCCACATCAAGCTTGTCACAGCACTAGGCCCTGGAGATACAGGAGCACCTAAGGAACAGTTGTCTTCAGGATGTGTGACTCTAATTCAGGAAGAAAGCTGGTATGCAAATAAATATTCAGCATTATATTACAGTTGGCCCTTGAACAATGAAAAAGTTAATGGCACTAATCTCTGTAGAGTCGAAAATCTGCACATAAATTTTCACTCCCTGTAAACTTAACTCCTAATAGCCTACCATTGACAAGAGGCCTTACTGATAAACAGTTGACAAACCCCTATTTTGTATATATATTTTGTACTGTCTTCTTATAATCAAGTAAGCTAAAGAAAAGAAAATGTTATTAAGAAAATCATACGGAAGAGAAAACGTATTTACTATTCACTAGGTGGAAGTGGATCATCATAAAGTTCTTCATCCTCATTGTCTTCATGTTGAGTAGACTGAGGAGGTGGAAGAAGAGGGATTGGTTTTGCCATTTCAGGGGTGACAGAGGTAGAAGAAAATCTACATATAAATGGACCATGCAGTTCAAACTCATGTTGTTCAAGGGCCAACCATATAGCATAGGTCAGAATAACCAAAAAAGTGAGTATAGACTGTGAAGGTATAGGGAAAATAAAATGATTAGTTTAATGAGCAGAAGATCAGAATGGATTCTTGGAAATGATTTTGAAGGATACTAAAAGGTCTTCTAGGCAGATGAGAACTGGTGGTCATTTTCTAAGCAGAGGAAAGAGATTATTCTTTCTAACTTTCTGAACCTAGGATGGTACTAAGAATTTACATTAAATTGACAAGAGGGACAATTACATAAAGATCTTAAAGTACATTTAGAGTTTTTTTTTTTTGACAAAGATCTATGCTTATGTACAAAGTAAAATCTTTTAGTTAGTACTGAAGCAATTTTGTTTTAATTATTCTGATTTTTATAAATCACTTTGCTTCATGCTCGTCTTGTCTAAAAAGAATTTATAGCCTCTAAAACATACATTTAGAATGGATCAGGGGAAGGAGAAGTTCTGCAAGCTAAGAAATATAAAGATATGTCTAATATATTTTTATGTAACATTATGGCTAGTCATACTATTTTAGTTATTTGAAAGTATGTCCAATTATAATTTTCTGAATCTTAACTTCATTGAAGATTTAATGCGTTAACTTTTAAAAGAGAAATTCTGAAAAAAACAAATGACTTGGCTGTAGTTAAGCAACATTTTAGGTGTGATTGCTCTGAGCATGCCATTTTACAAACCACCAATTTACCAATAACGTTAGACTATCATGGTTTTCCTTTAGGTTCACTTAAGTAGGCAGTACTTTTTTTTTTTTTTTCAAATAACTGATTATGGAGAAGGAACATTCTAAAATTTTAATTGTGTCACTGTACTTTCAAAATTTAGATTACAAAGAATATATTTCCAGCCAACCCACATTCCAAAGCAAATCAGATGAATTAAAGAAAGGCTTTTTTTTTTTTTTTTTTTTTTTTTGCAATTGGACCTGTGTTTTCATCTCAGTAAGTACAACTCTGAAAAATCATTTTCACTACTTTTAGAATCCCAGTATGTTCTTAAGTGGCTTTACCTGGTAGAGATAAAACTGGTGTTAGGAATTGGTCTAGCACAGGGAATATTTAATGTTTTTGTTTGTTTGTTTTGAGACCAGTCTCGCTCTTGTCCTCTAGGCTAGAGTGCAATGGTGCGATCTCAGCTCACTGCAACCTCCGCCTCCCGGGTTCAAGCAATTCTCCTGCCTCAGCCTCCTGAGTAGCTGGGATTACAGGCACATGCCACCACAATCGGCTAATTTTTTGTATTTTTAGTAGAGATGGGGTTTCACCATGTTGGCGAGGCTGGTCTTGAACTCCTGACCTCAGGTGATCCACCTGCCTTGGCTTCCAAAAGTGCTGGGATTACAGGCGTGAACCACCACGCCTGGCCTATTTAATATTTTTATCAGTAGGTCTACTAAAGTTCAAATTTAAGGTTGAAGTTGGGAAGATCATATATGGTTCAACTCAGACACCTAAAAAGCCTTGCTGGCTGGGCATGATGGCTCACAACTGTAATCCCAGTAGTTTGGGAGGCCAAGGTGGGCGGATCATGAGGTCAGGAGTTTGAGACCAGCCTGACCAACATAGTAAAACTCTAAATCTACTAAAAATACAAAAATTAGCCAGGTGTGGTGTCATGTGCCTGTAGTCCCAGCTACTCAGGAGGCTGAGGCAGGAGAATCTTTTGAACCTGGGAGGTGGAGGTTGAAGCGAGCCAAGACTGCACCATTGCACTCCAGCCTGGATGACAGAGCAAGATTCCATCTCAAAAGAAAAATAAAGCCTTTGCCAAACAACTCTTGCTATCTTCAGTTGTTTGAATCAATATTGATTTCACAAATTAAACTGTAACATTTATTAAGATTACTTCAATAATATTAACTCAGGGTAAAGACACAAATACTTTCATAAACAAGAGCTTGAAGTGCTTATTTTTATTATATGAGTATACAATTTCTCTATTCGTCGGGGAGGTAGGGAGACATATGAAAACTACTTGAGAAGCTCTTCTAGAATGCCTTTCTTCACGAGAGTCCCGCTTGAGAATCACAGCTCATAATGCTGATGGAAAGAGGCGGTATGTTGCTTATCTCATCCCTCTTCCATTTGGGTTGGCAATGTGCCCAGCTTCCCCCATCACTAGGTATGACCACGCTATCAAGTTCTAACACGGAGATGTGAAAAGAAATGTGTGCAGTATCTGGGAAGTTTTCTTTGAAGGGAGGAAACAATGACTTTCTTCTTCCATTTCCATCCAGCTCCACAAAACTTGTCATGGCTCTGGCCTCTCCAGCGACCTCAGAACACAAAGATGATGATCACATTTTAAAAATGGCACAGGAGTGATATTTGGAGCCTGGGTCCTTGATGGTCATGGAGTGTTTATAGCTGTGTTGATTGCCTAACTCTGACCTTCTTTTGCATAAGAGAAAAATAAACTTTATATTGTATGTGCCACTGTTGTTATGGATTTGCTGTCCAGTACAGCCAATTGCTAACTTGTGTAGATGGATAGTGTCCCACATTGCTGGGTTTATGTGAACCCAAATGGTGATTGCAAAGCTATGATCTGGAGTGCTTAATACTTTTAAAATAAGAGTGTTGCCATGGGCTTGGGAAACAACAGATCTCTTTCAAATTCCTGCTGCTGTAATTACTTGTTTTAAGTGATTTATTTACTTTGTCTGAGTGAGCATTTAGCCTGTGGGAACTTCATCTTCCTAACCTGTGAGGTGGGGACAATAATATTATCTAGGAGGGCTGTGTGAGTAGCAAATGACGTGATGTTGATGAAGAGCCCGCCATACATCGGATGGCCATAGCATATTCAAATGTCTTTTGTCTACTATTTCTCTTTGTAACATTTGCATGACAGTTAAGACTCTCAGAGCTTCCTCTATTCATTACAACTATAAAGGAAGACAACTGTAGATCTTACTGCCTGAACACGTTTTATCTCGAAGTTCCTAAAACATCAGAAGTTCCTCTTTTTACAGTTGCCATTTGTAGACAGCTATTCGAGAGTCATTTCTCTAAGAAAAATTATCAGTGTTTTTAGTGATTTAATCGAAAAGCCAATCTAAAATTGTATATCTGAATATCACTAAGGTTCATTATTTCCATTTTGAACATAATGAGAATAAAGAATTTTAACAGCTGTTCAGAGACAAGAGAGTACGCATTATGGGCTCAGCCATAAATGCACAGTCAACTCCAGTCAATCAGACAAAGCTGTTTGTACCCAGCTGGGACGAGGAGGAAGGGCACATGGTGGCTGCCTCAGAGGAGTGGGTGATGCACGGAGTCATGGCTGCGGCCCAGGCTGAACTCACTGGGAAGGTGCCATCTGAAAAGACAGCAGGAAAAGGTGCAAACAGGACCTTGGACACAGTTTTTATGGTCCATTGAGTGAGACTGCCTTCTTTTTTCCCCCTGCAGAATGAAGTACCTCACTTCATAATTCTTGAGAGATTAGAGCAATTGCAAACAAAAGATCTTAAATATTACCTGACCTATAGTAGGAAATAATGCTTTTTTTATTAAAACCAGGAAAAATAAATTATTTTATAATTTTTTTTTCCAGAAACGTTCAGAAATGAGTTTCTGGAATGGGCATTTGTTTCTACTAAAGCCTGAAAATCAATTCTCGGTTGCCTGGGGGTAAGAGCTTTGCCATTGGTGAGAGATTTCTGTGGCACACCTTATGGAACTGCAACTCCAAAGGTGTCTGTGCCTCACTGTTTTCTCAGCAAAACACCTCCTTCTCCCCTCCCCCTCCCCGACCCCTCCCTCTGCTTCACACACCTCCCACACATGCACAGTCACTTGTACACACAGATGCACACACAACAGAACACAAACACACTATACACACAGCATTCATGTTAAAATAGAGATGGTAAGATTGACAGAACAGACTCTCTGTGGCAATAAGATACAAAATTATTAACAGGACCTAAGGCCATGCCAGGCCAGGGTGAAGTCTCACACTCTAAACTTAAAGAATAAATGACGTTCTCACTGCCACAGGCTTTTCATTTTCTCTAGCAGCTAAACAAACATTGCCCCCAAAATTAGCAAGACTAAAACCGTTACAAGCCATCCAGCTCACAGACACTGACTAATTAACCCCCGTTCCACAAGCTGTAACTACAGCTTTCACTGGACAAGGGACTGATTTCAGTAACTTTCTTCTCACACGAAGACCACCCACCATCGACTGGTTCTGGCCGGTCTGCAGAGGCTGCCTTCATGTCCTGAAAATTTCTTTTGATGCATAGGGTCTAGACTGTAATACATTTAGATCTTAAATCTCCACTCAAAAATGAACTTGAGTTGTATGTTACAGGCATCTTTGTTCAATACGCATGCATCAGGACCACTTCATGAATATTCACAGCTCCTCCTGTAACCTGTTGATCCTCCAGCCCATTCAGCATAAAGCTCCTGCCCCAACCCCTTCTCCTCCAAGGTGCCTGTTTCTAATCTCTGCGGGAGGCTGTGCTTCCCAGCCTGTGGGATGCCACCTTGCAGAGTGTAACTCTTTCCAAGAAATCATGTCTCCTTTTCCAAATTTATTAATTGTGTGTTTTTTTTTCTTTAAGTTAATAGCTGTTTAAAGGCTTGGGGAAATTGGGAGAGGGGAACGGAAAGTCAAGAGGTGGGAGAAATAAGGGAAGAGCTGTATCCAGCTCTGCAGTGACTCCACCCAGGTTTCAGGAGACCCCGTCCATGCCTTTGGGGAAGAGTGCATTCAAAGCCTTCGACAACTTGTGTCTATATTTTATTTGTTTTCTCCATAATGAGGGGATTTTCTTCTATACTCAAGTTATGTATGAATATTGAAAACAAGAAGCCTCATAGGAGGGTCCAGGGGCACACAGAGATTGATTTCAAACATTTGCATTAACTAGGGTTGGAAGATTTGTAGAGATGGTTAGATCATAGAATTCCCAATGTATTATACACTAATTGAAAGTCTATTTGTTAAGTTTTGTGTACTTTCCATTTTTCACTTTTTAACAACAATGAAGCCTGAAAACTAACACTGTTTTCACAAATAGACTTATTTTTCAGAATGGCAAATTGTAAGTATGAGTCACACGACATTGAAATATTCCAGGGGAACTGAGGAGCTTGAGAAACCTAAAATCCTGACAGTGTCCACCTGAAAGAGCGCTGGTATGACTTCCTCACTTTGAAAATATATATATATATTTCATATGTATATGTATTCCATATATATATTCCATATATATGTATTCCATATATACATTCCATATATATGTATTCCATATATACATTCCATATATATGTATTCCATATATACATTCCATATATATGTATTCCATATATATATTCCATATATGTATTCCATGTATATATTCCATATATATGTATTCCATGTATATATTCCATATATATGTATTCCATGTATATATTCCATATATATGTATTCCATGTATATATTCCATATATATGTATTCCATGTATATATTCCATATATATGTATTCCATGTATATATTCCATATATATATCATATGTATATGTATTCCATATATATATTCCATATGTATATGTATTCCATATATATTCCATATATATATTCCGTATATATTCCATATATATATTCCGTATATGTTCCATATATATATTCCATATATGTTCCATATATATATTCCGTATATGTTCCATATATATATTCCGTATATGTTCCATATATATATTCCGTATATGTTCCATATATATATTCTGTATATGTTCCATATATATATATTCTGTATGTTCCATATATATATATTCCGTATATATTCCATATATATATTCCGTATATATCTATCTATCTCATATATATGGAAATCTTTAGTCACTTGTGGGTGGCATAAAGAGAAAGAACCAAGTTTAGATGTTGCCATGGCTTGTCAAAGAACTCCTATGTGTTGAAGGACATAGAATTAAAATCTATATTGACCATGAAGAAATGCAGTCTTGGGGATCAAGAGGAGCTCAGGGGGCCCTTCTGCTGAGACCTAACAAAGACCTCCCAGGGCTCCCTTGCCCTGCCCAGAGGACCACCTGCATAACAGGGTGATCAATAAGTAAAGCCATGGTGTTAATGTCACCAATGTTGTGGAAAGAGCACAGGAATAAGGCTCAGGAGGCTCTGCCTTAGTGGTAAAAGTGAGGGCAATAATATCACTTACTTCCTAGCACTGTTGAATTAAATGGCTGATTATGAGGAAAGTAAAATATGAAATGTAAGCTTCTAGCAGCATGCCTGGCAATGAGTACTTGAATTATTCTTTAGTTTCAAAAAGAATCAATTCTTTTAAATCCATGTCCCACTTTTCTTACTTTTACAACTTTTAGTACCACAAAATCCAGATGTATAAACAGCATGTTATTTTCCCATTTAGGGATCTTGAGAAATGACTTTCTTTTGATATAAATAAGAACAGCCACTCACTGGCCTAAACATCCATTGTTAACATTACTTTTCCAATGGATAGGCTATGCTCTAAGATGAACAATTAAAGATTTTAGAACATCCTTTCTGTCTTAGAAATATATTATTTAAAAATGTAAAATACTAATTAATTAAATTATTTCTTGGGTTAACTCCAGGATGTTGGGTTTTAAAGAAATAAATTGAACATAGATGGTTATCTAAAGCACTTGTTAAACTTGTAAATTTGAATGCAAAATTGTAAATGTCACTCTCAATTCTTTTTAAACTTAGGGTGGAGCAATAATAGTTATAAACACATTAATATTTCTGCTGATTTTTTCATCTAATATTAATAGTAACTATAGGATGGAATCCTAAGGATAAATATTTATTGAGTATTAATATATGCCAGACATTATTATTTGAATGTTTGCCTCCTCCAAATTTATGTTGAAATTTAATTGCCATTGTAACAGTATTAATAGGTGGGACCTTTATGAGGTGATTAGGCCATAAGGGCTGGGCCTCATGGGCGGATTAATGCCATTATTAAAGGACAAGTTCAGCCCCCTTTTGCCTCTTTGCCCTTCAGCCTTCTGCCATGTGAGGACCTGGCATTCTTCCTCTGTGGAGGACACAGCATTCAAGGCGCCATCTTGGAATCAGAATCACTAACCACATCAAAGCCTAATACTGGACTTCCCAACCTCCTAAACTGTAAGCAAATAATTTTGTTCATAAGTTACCCAGCCTGTGCTATTCTTCTATACCAGCACATATGGACTAAGACACTACGTATTCTAATAAGTGTGTGAAAACCCAAGATAAAATAGGCGTTATTTCCCATTTTACAGATGAGAAAACTGAAGCTTGAGGAATCTGTGAATTTGTTTAATCCAAATCTGTTAGAAAATAGTAGACCTCACCTCTTCAATAGTTGAGCATGGATAATTATGATACTAATTTTAGACTCATATTTCTTCATTTGTACATGATTTAAATCTCAGAAAAAATTTAGAATTTCTCTTTACTGTCTGTTGGTATTATGAAATGTGATAGCAGTATGTCTAGGCACAGATTTTTTTTTTTTTTTTCCTTAGCAGGGGTAGTTATTTTTTTCTTTCTTAGCAAGGGTGGCTTTTTCAGTCTGAAAGCTGAGACATACACTTTTCTCTGAGAAGAAATATTTTCTATTATTTGAATGTTTCACCTCTCCTTTTTCCTATTCTCTCTTTCTGAGACATACATTGATTCTCCAAGTTGTCATCTTTCTCTCTTATCTCTATGTTTGTCTTTGGTTCTCTTTTTTCTCTGTATTCTGGGAAATTTTCATAGCTTTATTCAAGTTCATTTTTCAAGCTCTAAGAACTCTCTTTTTGTCTGATTTTACCATTTTTATTATACTAGTTGTTACAGTTTTGATAGATAAACTATCTTCCAAAATTTCTAAACGTATGGGTTTGGGAAATTGCTTTTAAAATCCTTAGGGATATAGCCAAATTACAGCATGCCAAGAAATGACAGAAATGTATTTTTTAATTAAAAAAAGGAGTATTAGTAAAGCTTCAACTTTAGAACAGGGTCTATGTCAGAGAAACACCACAGAGCAATGAAAACTGTGTTCTCCAGATTATTTAGAACGTAGGAGGATTTCCAAAATATTTATTTATTTTGAAAGTAGAATGATTAACATCTGCTGTCTATAAGCAACACTTTTGAAAAAAGGAATTTACTCCCTCCAATTTGCTCCATAGGCTACAGTTTCTTCTTTTATCTACCTCTTCCTCCTCCTCCTCCACCACCTTCTTTTCTTGTTGTTGTTGTTGTTCTTCTTCTTCCTCCTCCTCTTCCTCTTCTTCTTCTTCTCCTTCTTCTTCCCCTCCCTTCCTTCCTTCCTTCTTTCCTTCCTTCCTTCCTCTTGTTCTTCTTCTTCCTCTTATTCTCCTTCTCCTTCTTCTTCTTCTCCTGCTTCTTCCTCTTCTCCTTCTTCTTCTTCCTCCTCCTCCTTCTTCTCTTCTTCTGCTTTTCTTCTCTTCTTCTTCTCTTTTCCTTCCTTCCTTCTTTCCTTCCTCTTCTTTCTCTTCTTCTTCCTTCTTCTTCTATCTCTTCTTCTTCTTCTCCTTCATCTTCTTCCTCCTCCTCCTCCCCTTCCCCCTTCCCCTCCTCCTCCTCCTCCTTCTCCTCCTTCTCCTCCTCCTTCTTCTTCTTCCTCTTCTTCTTCTTCTTCTCCTTCTTCTTCTTCTTCCTCCTCCTCCTCCCCTTCTCCCTTCCTCTCCTCCTCCTCCTTCTCCTCCTCCTTCTTCTTCTTCTTCTTCTTCTTCTTCCTCTTCCTCTTCCTCTTCTTCTCCTTCTTCTTCTCCTTCTTCTTCCTCTTATTCTTCTTCTTCTTCTCCTTCTCCTTCTTTTTTCTTTCTTCTCTCACTCTCTTTCAATTTGTCATTTATCATTTCTCATTCTGGTCCCATTAATGTTATTCTTCAAATTGTGATTCTAAATCCCTTGTACAAGACTCTGCAAAGGTACTTATATATAATTTCTCAAACTTCTGGAAACAAGTAACTCATAGAAATGTTTAGAAACTTTAAAAAAAATTTTGTTAAAAATTATAGCTCTAGTGTTACGGGATAACATCTGTGCAGGTGCTAACATGCGTTTTAACTGGTTTGCTGCCCCTGTCAACCTGCCATCTAGGTTTTAAGCCCGACATACATTAGCTATTTATCCTGATGCTCTCCCTCCTCTCAACCCCCATGCACCGACAGGCCCTGGGATGTGTCATTCCTCTCCCTGTGTCCATGTGTTCTCATTGTTCAGGAGCATCTTTTCTGATTGTTTTCACAAACATTTTATACCAGTTGTGCTTGTACTTGGGTTGTGCTCCTTGCAGGGAAGCCAGACTGGTAGATGACCACAAGATTTTTTTATTCCTTGACAGCCGTCCTGCTCATTCTCTGGCTGAGATTTTCATAAAATATAACGTTTATACATGTATTTTCTTCTGAATGTGTCTTCCTTAATTCAGCCACGTGACCAGGATATCTTTAAATCAATAAAGAGTAAATATAAAAACATTTTCCTGAAAAGCACGTTAGCAGCAGTGAGCAGAGGTGCTCATTGTTCAACTCCTGCTTATGAGTAAGAACATGAGGTGTTTGGTTTTCTGTTCCTGTGTTAGTTTGCTGAGGATAATGGCTTCTAGCTTCATCCATGTCCCTGCAAAGGACATGATCTCATTCCTTTTTATGGCTGCATAGTATTCCATGGTGTTTATGTACCACATTTTCTTTATCCAGTCTATCATTTATGGGCATTTGGGTTGGTTCCATGTCTTTGCTATTGGAAATAGTGATGCAATAAACATACATTGCATGTGCCTTTATAGTACAATGATTTATATTCCTTTGGGTATATACCCAGTAATGGGATTGCTGGGTCATATGGTATTTCTAGTTCTAGATCCTTGAGGAATCACACTATTTTCTATAGTGGTCGAACTAATTTACATTCCCACCAATAGTGTAAAGAGTTCTTATTTCTCCACAGCCTTGTCAGCATCTACTGTTTCTTGACTTTTTAATAATCGCCATTCTGACTGGCATGAGATGGTATCTCATTGTGGTTTTGATTTGCATTTCTCTAATAATCAGTGATGTTGAGCTTTTTTCATATGTTTGTTGGCTGCATAAAGAACAGTCAGCCATCTTGGAATTACCTAGTTGAATGCCTAAATCTGAGGGAAACTGGAAGAGCTTTCAAGAAAATAAGTTGGTATCAATAGTAATTCAGCCACAGTAGAAGAAAAGTCTTTGGTTTAGAAAGTTTTCCAAACAAGGGCAGTGATCGGAGGAAGATGTTGCCACATGGTGCAATGCAGCCCCAAACTTTACTTATAAAACTGGAAAAGTTGGATAAAATACAGCAAGTTGTACAGACTGTCTTTTGCTAACAGGAAAGGAGATAAAAGGAATCATAGCAAAATACGCCTGTAATCACTGCCGTGTGTGTATCCCTGCTCTTGTTATTTTCATGAAATGATCCATTTTTTATGCTAAAATCATTGCTTGCTAATAAACTCAGTACTGTTCCCTTTAAGTAAAAAAAAAAAAAATAGAAACAAAAATAAAGAAATGTTAAAACATTGTGCTTGGATAGAGACAAAACTGGTTAGTGTCCTACAGGGCAATAAACCTAAAGTTTTGGGGTTATTCATTCTATCAAACAGAAATCATTTGTCTCCCCACTGGATAAAAATCTACACATTATGTTCTCTACTTTCAGAATTATGCCATAGCCAAGACAACACATTCAAGTTGAGCACTACATTGAAATACTATGATCTCTTTCATCTATTTATTAGTTTAAGGAATTTTTTTCTGACACCAAATTAAAATGTGCTTGAGGCCAGTGACAGGAAGTTTGCTAGCTGTGAAGAAGAGAATCCCAGGAATGAGCCTGAATTTGCCACCCAGGCTCTAGGGATGCAGACCCTCACTGGAAAGAATAAAGAAGGAGACAACAGAAGACAAAATAAAGAAGTGTTTTGCTTCCATTGTAAGAAATACTTTTCAACATTTTGTTTGTGAAGGGCACAGTTACGCTCTGCCCAGAGATCGATGACTTCTGTTGTATGTGTCTTTCATCAGAAGTTTCTGAGTTCAATCCTTTTCCCGGTCAAATCTCTTCAGGGCAATGTTTTGAGTTTGCTCCGCTGATGGTGCACTGACTCACGCTGACATGTAAGAACCAACCGTATGTCTTTCCCCAACTCCACATTCAGTGATGCCATTTTGATTGCACAATATTGCTCATGGTGGAGGTTGTTGGCATTATGGAAACTGGCAACCACTACAACTCAGATGGTGGTGGTGGTACTTTTTCCAGAGGCTGGTTGTTGCCATTTCAGGGCACACTGCTGCTCCTCTCCCTTTTGCAGGCAGGCACTCTCTGAAGGCTCCTATTGGCCAAACACCCCAAAGAGGGACCATCTCCCAGTGTACTCTTAATAATGACCTACTTTCCAATGTCCTGAATTGCTTGTAAAACGTAGGTAACTTGTCCCGAGTCCAGGCTGTTTGAAATAGAATATGTAGCCCTTAAGTGTTGAAAGAATGTGTGTTTTACCAAGTTTCCCAAGTGATTTTCATATACTGTAAGGTTTGACAAAAATGTCATTAAGGACTTTTCTTATCTAATACATTTTTTGAGTGGTTAGTTTGCCTAAATGCATTATATTCTGGGGCGAATTTAATTGCTTAATGGTTTGTCATGTTTTTATTAGCATTACAACATAGTCAATTTTTAGATTAGTATGAGAAGCCAAAGATTTTCCTAGACAACAGAATAGATGAAGTAATCTGTCAGAGGACAGAGAGAAGAGCTGGCACTGAAGAAGGATGCACAGCCTGGACTCTATCTTTCTTCAAATAATCATCATGATATTTACAAATATGATACAAATTTTAAGTCTAAAATTATGTGAGGTAAAATTGTTGCTTTATAAATTTACTATATATACTTTTTTACTTAATAACTAACATGATTTATTGACTGCAAGGCTAGATACTATTAATAAAGTAGCACATCTAGCAAGAACATGGCTGATCATTTGCAACAAGGACCTTAAGAGGTGTGTGTGTGTGTGTATGTGTGTGTGTGTGTGTGCGCGTTGTTAGCATAGCCCATATGTGAATTGAAACATGTACAGTATACTTAGGAGATAATTTGTCAGGCTCTCATTGTGTCTTTTTTATTTTGTAGATAGCATGAGCTGGTTGGCAGTTAAGCATACTAGTAACAAAGATTATGAGTAGAAGATTTGCTGCTAGAAGCAGGTGTTACTGATTTTAAAGCTGTATAGGTATATAGGTGGAAGGAAGAAAAGATAGAGGTAAACTAGAAAATAAGAATAACTAAAAAATGAATTATGCATCAGAAAAAAATTGCTTATAATAATACCTACCTTCTACAGGTATGTTGAAAAGGACACTGTTGTTCTGAATATTCTGAGATGCTGCCATGTGTAAGTTTGGTAATAAAAGCCAAAAAGGGTGGAATTTCTTTGTCTTGTAGAGAAGAAAATGATTTGAAATTCCAGAGAGGAGAATATGCAGACAGAAAGAGAAAGGAAGCAGCAAAGTTGATATTTTTTGAGGGAAAGAGGACTGGCGAAGAAAAAGAAAAAAAAAAACAACCTTTGTTTATTGCTAAGGAATTTGAGTAGTTGTTTATCTCCTTATGGAATTTTTGGGAAAGTCTATTTCTTGTGGGGAGATGATTTTGGGAGACCGTTAAGTGGCAGTGACTGAAGTAGTATGCAAAGACGTAGAATGTAGGTGGGAGACCATTTGAAAGTAAGGTCTTCAGAAATTTTCAGTTATCTTGTGGACAGCTTGGTTAAAACCATGAAATTTGGAATTCATGTTACTATACTCACTCCATATTACAGTGTGGAGTTGATATTAGAATAGCAATTATATTTATTGTAAAAGAAAACTGGAATTGAACATTACACAATAGAAAAAGTTAATCCCAAATGAAAATGCTTCAGTACTTCATTTCCAAATATGTTCTGAGTGACTATGAAGCACAAGTACTGAGCACCTCCATGAAACATAATTTAGAGCAAACAAGCAGGCTCCGTTCACATCAGTGCCAACTCCTGAGGGATGAGTTGGGTTGGCCAGTCGGATCATCAGGGTGAGGCAGAGACTGGAGAGTAGGGTGCATTCCAGGCTGAGAGCAGAGGATGTGCAAATGTATCCCGGTAGGAAAGAGTACTATGAGCCGCACGTGGTCCAGTAAAGCGGAAGGTAACAACAGCTGAGTCTACACAAATGGGTACATGAGCAATCTAATATGCCAAATTAAATAGTTTGAACATGTGTCCTTAATGTAGATGCTGAAAAAATAAAATAATAAGATAAAATAAAATAGTTTGGACATTAACTGTACATAATGAATGATTTTGCATGATCAGATTTGCATTTAAAGACATCACTCTGGCAGAGTTTGTGGAACCTGTTGTTTAAGCAGAGAATAACCGTAATCTATCCATGGACTCTGATAGTTTGTTATCCGTAAAACCAGAAAACCCATTACCTGATGCTCATGGATAGGAAAGATGTTACTGAATGAATCCCTGTGTCCCTCTTGCTGTGATGGAGTATGTATTCACTCTCCTTCCACATCCTGAGTTCCTATGGACTTGAGACAGCGGATGGTGACCATGCACATATGCACATGACAAGGAATAAAGCCATTATCTTAGGCTGTGTCTTCTTATTTCTCACACAGTGTCCAAAGGGTGACTGTGTCCGCCAAAATGCTCCCCTCTCTCTTGCCTTCTCTTTCCCTGCTTACATATGCACGTGCTCATAACCATACACACATATTGCTCAGGGGAGGATTGTAACATTATTATTTAATAGATACTTCAGAACACAGTGTTTTGCAGGTTCCAAGGTACTTAGGAACACCCTTGGTGGAACAGTTACAGATTTTCCAAAGTAGATTTTCTTATTGTCAAAATAAGGAATCATATTGTTACTGAAGGCCAAGGTGAAAATTGGGAGGCCCAGTAGTAGAATGCAATGAATACAGGTTGTTGGCCTGAAAAAGACATTAAAGGATAAATCAGAATTACATAGACACATTGTGTTTTCCTAGGACAATGCCTTATTTCTCTGAGATGCCAATAACTAACTTAATAACTAACATGATTTACTAACTGCAGGGCTAGATACTATTAATAAAGTAGCACATCTAGCAAGAACATGGCTGATCATTTGCAGCAAGGACCTTAAGAGATGTGTGTGTCTTTGTGTGTGTGTGTGTGTGTATGTGTGTGTGTGTGTGTGTGTGTGTGTGTTGTTAGCATAGCCCATATGTTTTACATGGGAAAAATAATGGTTACATGGAAGGGCAGATATGTGCTGATGAAGAGAACAGTCTATTGTCTGGCATGTAGAAGCTCAATGAATATTAACCAAAATGGATAATGATGAAGATTTGATGGCTAATAATCATTTTATTTAAAGAACTTAAAATACATTAATAAGTTAGACAAGGCTTATGAATAATACATTTTAAATAGAGATATCTTATAGTATTTAATTAATTTTGGAGGGTTTTCTCAGTACCCCAGAAGGTCTGTTTCAACACTCCATATCTTTGGTATCTATTACTACTGCTGTTTAGATACACAGCTAAACAATTATATGAGGGAAAAGAAAACGTTTGAGGATAAAATACTTCGTATACTTTGAAATGCTTGTATTATAAAGTAGTCATTTGCTGTTAGGGGAAGGTGGAGGACTTCCAAATGATGTACAACGATAGGGAAGTGGCAGAAGTGTGTATTCCATCAGCCACTAACCACCAAACAGTATTTCTTTTTGGAACAGACAGAAGCTTTGTTAACAGATTATGTAACAAAATATCAATGATTCATGTACATATTTTTATTCTTCCTTTGCAAATTAGAGTTTTTTCTACAGAAATTAATTTGAAAACTCTTTGTTAAGGAACATCATGCACAATTCCATATTCTAACATTTGTTGAGACTGTTTTTTTTTTTATACAGATGATCACATTTTAGTTGCTTCTCAAAGTTTCAGGGAGAAAATGTTATTTTAGAATAGGGAAAGTGATATAATGAAGCATCACACAAAGCTCTTAGACAATCAAAAGTTTGATGTCTCAGGTATTATTTGAAATATTTAAAATTTGTCCAAGTTTATTAAAGGTTGTATCTCCATTTTATATATAAATTTATACACAAAAGTTTATATTTTTATTGTCGATCTGTGAGAATACTTAAGGCAGTTTTGCTGTAAAACATTTAATCAGTTAAGCTGTTTTTCCTATTTGCCTTAGGCTGTGCAAAATTTCAAAGAAGCTACAAAAAATTGAGTGACCTTCAAAGATCCCCTGTAGGGTTCATTAGCACCACTGGGTGCTTATCTGAAATTTGCTTAATGCTTCTTGAATAAAATTTACCTAGATCCTAACGAGGATTGATGAGGGGATTTGTAAAATTGGTTTTGATTTTTGAGAGGTAATGACCCTTGACTCTCAGCCGAGAGGTACTTGGCACTAATGAAGTGACAGGTTCAGTCCATACAAATATCCCTGCAGTTCTCTCAGCTGGTGAACTCAGCCGAACACTTGTAAAGTAAGAAATAATGTGGCCTACATATGATTGAACTGTGCAATCTCTGAAAAATTACCAAGAAAGCAGAGTGGTCACTTTAAATGAAACAGAAGTTAACTCTGTATGTACTTAAATGAGTTGAGCTAGTTGTTAATATATTCAGATTTTATCTCTTAATGATCCTTCCCACTCTAACTATGTTATGTTCCCATAGAATATAACACAGATTTTTGAGGGTGGCAGAACGTTTTTAAAATACTCTTCTACAAACAATGCTCATGCAGAATGGTCTTTGTAATGGACGTGAGTGTAATTTATACAACATACAGAATATGACAGTCTCCAGCCTGGGTACATGCTCCTATAGTATAACTGAAATCAATGGAAAAAGTGTAGTTTGAAATGAAATTTATCACATTCCTCACAACTCTTTGTACTTGTCCATAAGAAAAAAAATTGAAAATATTTTTAGAAAAACCCCTTCTTCAAAGTATTAAGTGGTAAGTCCAGGTAATTCCACTTGTGTATCTATTGGTAAAACAGATATTTCATGGTAACATTACCAGTCAAGCTAAATTATGCACATAAAGTTAAGGCTCATTCATGTGATGTTTATAGTATTAGTGAAAGATCCCAAAGTCTGTGAATTATTCTGGGAGTTGGTCTCTTACATAATTCCCACGATTTTCATTACCATTAATAATGCACATTGGCCTCATCTCTTTAAGTTTCATGTCATATTCCTTTTAAAGTAATATGATGGTCTTGTATCAAGTCCTAATAAATTTATCTTGACAGTTTTCGTTAAAAGAATAAACATTTCTTTTAATGCATTTACAAACCCATGCATCCAATTTACAAAAACACACTTTAGGTACTTAATAGCTTTCAGGAAAGACATCTGATTCCACTTTTATCCATTGCTGAGGTTCTAATTACATTGATATAATAGCTGTGGGATTTTATTTTTACTGATCAGAGAAATTCCTCACTAATGTGGAGCAGAAAAGAAATATTACAATTTTGTTCTCTCTTCAGGTGTATACTTAAAGTCAGTTGGATCTAATTTATTTACTCCAATTCTTTCATATTGAGGATATCTTTGATGTTCCTTTAGACGTATTTGTTCAGTGAGCCTAAATATTTGGTGCACAATGAAGCCAAGAAAATAATTAATTAATTTGACTTGAACTTTTCTCTACAAAGCTGTGTACTCTGAGGCTGAAATGGGCTTGGTCTCACTATTGACTTAATACGTTTATTTGTGATACTGGTTCTTTTTTTAATAATACTGGACAGCATATCATTTAAAAATAATTACATGGCAATTAAAACAGTTTATATGGAAAAAGTTAGTGCTATATAAATAATATACCAATATAAACACACAGGGACTGTAATATTGACTTTTCTTGTATTATAATCTCTTTTTTTTTTTTTTTTTTTTTGAGACGGGGGTCTCGCTCTGTCGCCCAGGCTGGAGAGCAGTGGCGGGATCTCGGCTCACTGCAAGCTCCGCCTCCCGGGTTCACGCCATTCTCCTGCCTCAGCCTCGCGAGTAGCTGGGACTACAGGCGCCCGCTACCACGCCCGGCTAATTTTTTGTATTTAGTAGAGACGGGGTTTCACCATGTTAGCCAGGATGGTCTCGATCTCCTGACCTCGTGATCCGCCCGCCTCGGCCTCCCAAAGTGCTGGGATTACAGGCGTGAGCCATTGCGCCTGGCCTGTATTATAATCCTAAAAGACATTTTATAAATATCATATAATAGGTATCATTATACAATAATTATATACATTATAATATAATTATAAATATTAAAGCTAGAGCAGACTTAATAATTAATGACCTGAATTTTGAATCTTCATTTTACCATTAATAATTGATAATCTTCAACCAAATCATAAATTCTCTGAGTTTAATATTTTAAATTGAGGCAAGTAATAACTGATTAATGGGACTGTTTTGAAGCTGAGAAATTATTTTCTGAAAGCATTTGGTAAGTAAAGAAAAGTTATACATATAACATTTACATTTTCTATTGGGTATATTCTCATGTCCTATTTACATAGCAATATATAGTTTGATATATTTCATTTAAAAACAGAGGCAGTTTAAGTATTATGGGATAATACAAACTGAGATTAAATATCATGCAAATTAATTAAATAGTGCTCTACTTCTAAAATCCATAAAGAAATAATGAAAAACTTTATACTTGAAGTATTTTGGATAGTTTTCTGGGAGTGCCCACTACATAATAGATTAAATCATGTCCTCACTGTGGTTAGTACAGATAAATGTTACATAAATTCCAGTTGGTAATGCAAGACGACATAGAATCATTTATACATAGGAGTGGAATAAAATTTTTATCTTAAAAAAAATTGTTTATATTTGTCAATTGTTCTTCTGTGATGTCAACATAAAAAATGCTTAGGATAGCTCCTTAAGATATACACCACAAAGTATGTGTACACTATTATGTACTTGTAACTTATCTGATAAAAGATACACAGTACTGAAAATTATTTTAGTCCATTTATGTTTTATGTATTTCTTAGCATATGTTATTATCGCCACAGTAATGGTATATAAGAAAGCAGACCCAAATTTAGTGGCTTAAAATAATAATTGATTTTCTGTTTGTCATACAGCTGTGAGTCAGATATAATGGACCTGGTCTAGGTTGGGCTTGAAAATGACTCTTTTTCAAGAGTGCTTCCGGCTGGCCTTGAATCCTCACTACAGCTTTGGCTCATATTTGTTCCATGTCTATTCACTCTGGAGCTGCAGCCACCCAGGGAAAGCTCTTCTAACAGGGATGGTCGAAGTGTAAGACAGGGAGACCAAGAAAGCCCCAGCATTTTAAGGCTGTGCTTGCGTCACATTGCTAATAGTTTGTTGGCAAAGCAAGTTGCGTGGATGAGTCCAAACCCCGTAGGCTGGGAAGTAGACTGTACCTACAAGGTTGCCAAAGACAGCCATGGTCCCAGCCCAACATTAGTATCCTATGAACAAGCACATGGAGAAGAGGAAAAGAGTAAATATTTGCCATGTAAAAATCTAATCAGCCATACTCGAGGTTTTGTTTTACTTTTTTGTTTTTTTTTTTGTTTGTTTTTTTGAGACAGGATCTCACTCTGTCATCTAGGCTGTGTAGCAGGCAGCAGCCTCAACCTCTGGGGTTCAAGCAGTCCTCCCACCTCAGCTTCCTGAGTAGCTGGGACCACAGGCATGAACAACCACCACACCCAGCTAATTTTTAAAATTGTTTTGTAGAGATGGGGGTCTCACTGTGTTGCGCAGGCAGATCTTGAATTCCTGGGCTCAAGTGATATGCCCATCTTGGCCTCCCAAAGTTCATGGCCTGTGCATGAGCCATGGCGCCCAGTCCTGAGTTTGTTATTTCAATGAGTTTTATTGAGAAATAATTTACACATAATGAATTAATTCAATGTCATATTTCTTTGGAGATAATGTGATCATCTTGTGTCCGGCCATATTAAGCATTCAATAAAAGGCACCAAATGTAGGTGTACAGTTTGCTGAGTTTCAATGTACACATAAGTCTCTCTCTATATTTATATATTACATTGTTATATTTATTATATTGCAATTATATGTATATTTAAAGTACAGTAAGTCCTCACTTAATGTTCTTGATAGGTTCTTGGAAACTGTGACTTTAAGCAAAAGACATACAGCAGGTCCTGGAATAACATCATTTCCTTCAAGTTCATTTCATTATAACATTGATGAGAAAAAAATGGTTTTGTTATACATTGTTTCACTTAGAGTAGAAGTTTCCAAGAACCTATTAAAGATTTTAAGTAAGGACTTACTGTATACTTAGATTTTATTATGATTATGTTTCTATCATGTATGTATTTCTATTATATTTATGTGTATATCTCTATGACTATGCCTATATGTATATAAATATCATCTATCTATACATATAAAATGATTACAATCAAGATAATGGATGTTGTCATCATAACAAAATGTTTCCTCATGTCCAATCGCAGTGAATCCAACTCTCCTAAGCCTAGCCTAACCATACCTGTTACCTTATGTCTCTTGCCCTATTTTTCTACCTTTTCTACAACCAGACTTTTTGAAAGAATTTTCTATACCTCCTGTATTTTCATACTCTTCTCACAGTCAATTTTCTAAGGCACTGTGGTAGTAACCACTCCGCAGAAATTCCTCTAGTCATGTTCATTAAAACTCATCTATTAATAAATCAAATGCACATATTTCAATCCTTAACATTATCTGAATGTCCTGGATATCTTTATCTTCTTGATATATTAATATGTTCTTTCCCTGTGACCAAAACTATTTCCCCTTCCCCACCTTCTTGCTGGAGTAACTTCTTAGCCTTCCGATTCTAGCCTAGATGTTATTATTTCCTGGAAACCTGCCTCAATTCTTCAATTCTGAGTTACATAATCCTGGAATATTCAGTGCTCTTCCAGTGTTAACTCATCTTTTTAAGTTACTGGATAGTTTCCTATATTGTAAGGCTCATATGGACATAGAATATAATTTTTTTATCTCCATTGCATACATAGTGCCTATTGAAATGCTCGGTATATATTAAGTTTTATTTTCATGTACTTTCCAGGGCTAAATAATTAAACAGAATTATTCTTACAAAGCCATTTATTATTTATCCCATTAGAAATGATCACTTGTTTTTGGAGACGTAACTGCACATATAATTTGTTGCTGCATTTATTTTTATGTATGTACGGCATTAGATTTAAAGACATTATGTATATTTTGCTTTCCTGATGCTCATTTCAATACACACAGTTTGGCACTTACAAAAGTTATTTTGTAGGAATGATTGGATTGATGAACCTATTCTCTACCCAGGCATTTTCTCAGTGGCTTTCAACATGTTCTTCTCAGCCCTTCCACCAAAGCCCTCGGCCTCAGAATAGTGATTAGTGTCATTAAAGGTGAAATTTCTATTTCTTTAACAAATGTATATCTTGGTCCATGAAAATGAACCAAAATATCAAAAATATTCTCATACTTCTTGAGAATTTTCATATAAATAATTTTGTGCTTTTCCAGTGTATTGCTTCTTTACTTTGTGAAATGAAAAGCGTTTTTCCAAGTTTTCTTGTTTTTATACCTCAAAATTATCCTGGTAGATCATTAAAAATATATATAAAAGAAAAAATAGTCACTGTTGAATTTAGGTTTCTTATCAATGGCATGTGTTCTCAAGGGGATATAAAATGAAACTTCCCATTTCCTGACTGCAATCCTGGGGTCTGGTGCTGCGCTGGCACCTGCCATGGCACATGCCGTTCTCCAGGGTGCACGCATCCTGCTCCCACGACGCCTTGCAGAGGGAGGGCAGAGGTCACCTAAACACTGCAGATGCAGACTATGATGTCACCATACAATAGCAAGGGCTCTTTCAGCATCGTAGTAATCTGTTGGTATAAGTTTGATAGATTTTCCTTCAATTTGTTCTCATCTCATCAGATACATTTGTGAAGACAAGTCTTTGGCAGACCAATCAAAATGGTACTCTTGCTAAAAGGAAGAGGTCACAGCTATAAGTAGACGGTGACACGGTAGCATGCCTGATTCTAGACAGTCCTAGACGCTTTGTGTTACTCAGAGTAGCCTAGAAAAGCAGAGCCGACACGTGAAAAGGCTTGTTTGAAGAGCTGGTGAAAATGGTAACAAGTTCCTGGGACAAGTCAACCTTCACTGAGCACTCTCTTCGAATTTTAATATTTTATTTTGCTTATACCACACAATTAGGTACTTCTTGGTATATTTTTGTCTGTTTTATTTGAAAATATAATATTGTTTTTACAACTATGAGGAAAGCCCCTAGAGGATTTGAACATGGATTCTGTTCTTGCTTTTTTGTTATTATCAAATGGAATGCAGACCAGATAAAGAGAAGGATTTATATGATTACAAATCTTGTCAATAGATACTTTGATCATGTATGCTTGTGAAGATTGGAACTTTCCTGATAGCAGTGATAGAATGAGAGTGCGGTAGGCAGAATCATGCCCTCCCCACAAGATATTTATGTCCTAGTTCCCAGAACCAATGAATAGGTTAGGTCCCATGGCAAAGGGAAATTAACATTTCATATAGAATTAATGTTGCTAATCAGCTGACCTTAAAACAGGAGATTATCCTGGATTATCTGGGTAGCACCAATGTAAGAACATGTGTCCTTAAAAGGAAGAGAGAAACAGAGAGATGGCAGCGTGAGAAATCAGCCCTGCATTTCTGAATTTGAAGGTGTAGGAAGGGGACAATGAACCGAGAAAAGTGACCTCTAAATGCTTGAAAAGGCAAGAAAATGGATCTTCCATACAGCCTCCAGAAGGGAAGGCACCATGCCAACACCTTGGCTTTAGTCCAGTGAAATCAGTGTCAGATTTCAAAACTGTAAAACTGTAAGAAAAAGCCAGCTTTTTGGCCCTGACCTGTGTCAAATGTGGGTCATAGGTCATATTAATCCATCTCTCGAAATCTCATTTCCTCCTTGGTAAAATGGGACCTGGGATAATGAGCTTCAGTCATTATAAATATTAACAGAAGTGATTTATTTAGTAAGTATGTATTGGTGCTCAGCTGTATTTTACGCACTATGCTGGGCACTCAGTGTCCCAGTGTGCATGTAACCAGGCTTACAGCTCCATCCGTCTCAGGGGCTGATACAGAGTTGGCACTTGATAAAGTCACATTTTCAAATTGCTTTGCTCTGTCCCCTCTGCCCCAAAAATTATTAATACAAATATACTTTGTTTGTTGCTTTTCAAGTGAGCTACTTTTAAATAACAACTGACCAATGTCCTATCTTTCTGAAATCTTTATTGGTATCATGTATTGAAATTTGGAGGAAAATAGCAGAGACTACCAAAGGTTAAGATAAATTATTTGGAAAAGGCACGTATTCTTCTACAATGGTGATATG
Organism: Homo sapiens; assembly: GCF_000001405.40. Lineage (NCBI taxonomy): Eukaryota > Metazoa > Chordata > Mammalia > Primates > Hominidae > Homo > Homo sapiens. The sequence goes on from NC_000002.12 coordinate 4,466,441, forward strand.
AAACAGTGTGTGTGTGTGTGTGTGTGCCTGTGTGTTTGTGTGTTCTTTCTGTTGAAATCATAACAGAAAAAGTGCACATCTGACAAAGCAAAAGAGATTCTTGGCTACAAAGGCGGTAGTAGAGATTATCCGATGATCACCTCAGGTTTCATTGTTTTCCATGCATATTCACTTTCCTCTTATTTACCAGTGCCATTTTACCCATTGTTACAAAAATGTTGGTTGTCTCTCCAAATGCTTTGCTGCCATTTTCTTATATTTTGCTAATAGAGCCTCACTTTTTAAAATTTTTTTTATTTTTTACATTATCCACCTTTAGTATGGTCACGTAACCAGGGGAAAAAATGCTCCCCAGCACCACCACCAGACTTCAGTGTCAATTTTGATTGTTTTAAACCAATTATGGTGATGTCTCTGCTAATACTTCTTTGAAGCAAAGCTTATGAAAATTCTAGTGCATGAGGAGACAGCACCCGAGATCTCTTCTGAGAAGCATCTTCTTCACTCTTAAAAAGAGTCATGTGAAGGGAATTTTCTTTTTATGAATACATATGGCTGTATGATGGGGAAATGCCTGGAGCTGTGGCGGCCATCAGGGAACAAAGCAATGGCCAAAAGCGAGCATGTGGAAGAGGGTGAGGAGGAAGAAGGAAGCGTTCTGGACCCGGATGCTGTGGCAGAGCTGAGTAGCCAGCCCACTCCAGAGCCCCTTAGCCTTTGGCTTCCTTGCTAGGGGAGATAATAAGAGTCAATATGTTTAACCAGCACACTCAAAATGTTGTTGCCTGCAGCTGAATTTCTAATAATTTATACTGTTTATATAGAAGTATGCCAGAAAATTTCATAAACACAGTGGGGAAACTTAATTTTAATCTTATGTAAATAGTTACAATGCTGACAAAATTTAAAAGGATACAGTCAGAAATATTTAAAAGGCAAGTTTGTAACAGAAAGTTTATAAAATGTGAGTAAATTTTTCCTTTATTTACTAATTCATTTATTACTTTGGTAAACCTTTAGTAAGTACCTATTATATATCTGAATTATATAAATTAAAAGAGCAATAAAGCTATCACTGAGCAGTTAAACCATAGTCATCTTTTATGTCCTTGTATTATTCTGCTAATTTTGAATCACTTTCAAACTTACAGAAAAATTACAGATAGTTTTAAAAATTATTTGATGATAAATTTTTAACTGAATCCTTCATCACCCTGGGGTGTGTAGTGTATTCTTTGTATACACAGGGCTATTTTCCTACATAACCATGACACAGCCATGGGATCAGGAAACTTGTGTCGATATAGTCCTGCCATCTAACTCAACACCAATCATTGTAAATGTCTTTTACAGAAAAGGATCTATTTCAGAGTTGGACATGCTATTAGTTGCAATATTGCATTCCTGTCCTACAACTTAAAACAACTCCCCAGGCTTATATAAGCTTAACGTTTTTGAAGACTGTGCATTTGTTATTTTACAGGATGACTCTTGGTTTGGAGCCATCTGATATTTGCTCATGATGGTGTGCAGGTCTGAATCTTTGGCAGGAAAATCACAGAAGTGACGTTCTGCTCTCACTGCACCCTAAATGCCAGCACAAGCTTGGACCCCTCCTGCTACTCAGGAGGTTAACTTTCATCACCTGATCAAGGGGGTGTCTCTCAGGCTTCTCCATTTTTAACTCACTCTTTCATATTTTGTAATGAATAAATATGCTGTGGGGTGGTGCTTTGACACTATAAATATTCTGTTTCTTAACAAACATGTAAGTTATTTACTTATTTATTTATCAGTAGGAACTTGTATTTTCCATTTTAGTCAATGGATTATAAACCATTACTGTCAGCCTTTATTTTGATGTTCAAATTTCCGTCATGTTTATATCACATCATAATATCGCCAACACTTCATGCTGGCTTCTGCATCCATTTGACATGTTCCTATCCTTTTTTAAGAACCTCATTACTTGCTGGTACAAGATGTTTCAGGCTGATTTTGTTCTTTCCCTGATCAGCTGTTTCTCTGAGAATCCCTGATTTCTTTTTATTCCCCTATTGTGCTATTGAACACTGAAACTTTTTTCTGTGATCTAAACGGTGTTTTTGCACCCATTATCCAACTTCCCTTTAAACTCCCCTCCCACTTCCCTTTTTGGCCCTGATTTTTTTTTTAGCAGAAACTTACATTTATAATTAAAGCCTGGCATTATCTGTGCCCAAGGCTTCAGGTGCCTTCCTGAGTTCAGGCCTTGTCAGTGGGCACAGCCAGAGAGTATGTACATATTGACACACACATATACACATTTACAGTTGTATGCATTTCCAGATCTATCTCTATGTTTATATGTAAAAGACTTGGGAGTCTGCACAGATAATTCTGATTCCAGTCCAACTCTATAGGATTCATTCTGGTTTCCACCCCACCCCCAGTCTTTCCATGTTTGCAATTCCCTTTTCAACAGTGAGAAATCCAACTTCCATTCTGCTAGAAACATATAGTTATTTTACAATGTTATTTGCTCAATCCTCTTGTGTGGAACTGACCTCCAGTCACTTCCGCCAATCCTTCCATGCATGAATCCAGTCCACCACTCTTGGGCGGGCATCCACCTTCCTCCTTGACATCCTCTTTACCCACCTCAGTCTCTGAGACCTGCCCTGACTGGTGCCTTCCTCCCCATCTTCAGACGCTGAGAGTGGCTCTGAGCTACACAGCTGCCATTCTTTCCACCTACCTGGATGACCTCCCATGGCATTGCCTACAAGCTTTAAGATTGAATCGTTGAGGAAGGAAGGGACAGGGATGATGGAGGAGGAAAGAAAAAGCCTCCAAAACTCTGCAATGGCATTTCCCAAAATAGTGATTTAGGTTTTCTTAAGATTATTGGGAGTCACAAACATTCTTATTTGAGAGGCTATAGGCCCCCAAATGGCAATAGGCAGCAGCTGAATGGGGGAAGGTAACTTTTATTTTTACATCTTACATTTCTCTTTTCTATGATTAAATTTAATGATAATCATTGAAACGTACCAGAGAAAGGGAAGTTATCTCCTAAGGGCACTACTATCAGGCGTGCAAATATCTAACCATTATACAAGGTCAAGGGAATCCTGAATCATTTCCCAAATGCAGAGTGATGGAGAAATCTCATATGGGAGCATGGGGGAGCCTGCGATTGACTCATATTGAGTAGGCAATGAGGGACAGTGTCCTTAACCATTCAACAGCTGGTTTGTCACTTTTAAGTTAAATCAGCTTTCAGTAGGCAGAGAAGGGTCAAAGGCAACTGCAGCCTGGAGGAAGAACCTATGCAGGCACCCACAGGGAGAAACGAAGTGGCCTTTCGTTACTTCCTGGAGAGCAACATCAGGAAGAGTGTGATAATTTGAGGGAAAATCTTTATAACCATAAGGTGTGTGTGTGTTTGGATGTGGCCATGTGACTGAGTGGCAGATGGGTTACTGTACATGGATGTGTGTGTTTGTGGAGTGTGTGTGTTTGTGAGAGAGAGAGATATGCTACAGTGGAAACCAGGAGAGCTCCTCACCTGAAGGAAAGGTTCAAACTTAACGACATCTACTTTGTCTCTTTGAGGTTAAGATAACTCAGATGTTGAAGAAGCCCTGTCCTGAGTTAAATCAGGGTAGCACGTAAACATGTGATCCTTGCACATGTCAAAGGAGGACTTCCATCCCATCATGCATGGAGGAGGAGGAAGAGAAAAAGGAGGAGGAGGAGATGAGGAGGAGGAGAAGGAGGAGAACAAGGAGGAGGAGGAGAACGAGGAGGAGGAGAACGAGGAGGAGGAGGAGGAGAACAAGGAGGAGGAGGAGAACAAGGAGGAGGAGGAGAACGAGGAGGAGGAGAACAAGGAGGAGGAGGAGGAAGAGGAGAAAGGAGGAGGAGGAGAACAAGGAGGAGGAGGAGGAGAACAAGGAGGAGGAGGAAGAGGAGAAAAAGGAGGAGGAGGAGAACAAGGAGGAGGAGGAGAACAAGGAGGAGGAGGAGGAAGAGGAGAAAAAGGAGGAGGAGGAGGTGGAAGAGGGGAAAAAGGAGGAGGAGGAGGAGACGAGGAAGAGGAGGAGCCTCTGATTTGTGTGACTTTCCACTGGAATGGTTAATGTTTATTGAAGGAACTCTCTCTTTCTAGCTTTGATTTTAAGCATACATCATAGCAAGTGAGAGAATATAATACAGTGAAAAAAACTAAACACACAAGAACTATCATAGCAATTCTTTGTATTTTTTTGATGCACACATATAAACTTTTAGATTTGAGTTTTGTTTCAGACAGCTGGGCAAGGCATCTACATTCTAGCACACTGTCTTAGCAATCATCAAACAAGTGAAAAGTTACTTATATAACAAAGACAAAGGGAAAACTACGTAAGTGTCTAACACCAAATTTGCATCCTTCGATAAATTATCTTACAAAATATCAAACTTGTTCTTCCACTGTTTTACTTGTTGAAATTAAAAAAAGCACATTTAAAAATCTATAAGCTGGTACAGCAATTTAAGATCATTGTTTTTACATACTAAGTCTTTCAAATAAATTACACAAATTTAAGGTTTTTTTTTTTAAATAAAAGGTTCTACAGTATTCAAAGACCTAAACAACTGAAGAAAAAGCATGACATACACATTTCATTGACCCCACCTTCTTGTATCAATCTGTTGTTTCTCTTTTCTTATGTTCTTCCCATTTTCCTTTTTACCACAAATTTATTAAATACCTTCAATGCATCTGGAGCTCTGCTAGGCATTGAGGGTAAAACATTCAAAATGATATTCTCTACCAGAATAGTTCACAATGCAAAATAGAAATAGACAAACATTAAATATCTATGTCATTTTTCCTATATAAAATAATAAATGCTAAATTAGGTAAAACAACATACTTAGAAAACTCACACATGCTTCACATTTTCAACACCTGAACACATCTAATATATGATTATATTATATATAATATATATAATGTATATTATACATAATATATAATATATATAATATAATATATAATATTATATATAAATTGTATACACACACACACACACACAGTAAATGAGGGTAGAAGTTGTCCTATTCACCATCCAAGGATCCATGCATCAGGCAAGATATTTTTAACAGGCCGAAATGGCCCTTTAAAGAAAGCAATCCCTTGGTTTCCTGAGAAGAAGCCAAGTGCCTAAAGGTAGAGTAATCTTTCGTTTTACCTAGGAAAAGTAAATAGATCTTCACACAATCAATTAAAATAGGATTATACTCATACACCAGAAGTTGTCTGTTTTTCATGACATTTCTGCTGTAAACCTTCAAGGTTAGTGAATCTCAGGCTGCAAAGTTTGTAGCTTTATGACTTGTTTGAGAGTATAATGGCTATTCTCATCTAGAAGCGCTTATAACAAGAAAACAAGGCAAAACCAAAAACAAAAACAAAACTCATCTGCAAGGCAAAACTCATGTACCTGGATGAGGGGAGACAACAGGGAAACTGCAGGGCACAATCAAAGAGACCCTAGAGGTAGGCCAATCTATAACTTTAGGATTTATGTCCCATCAGATTTGACTCAGCCACTCCTGTGGGTTTCTGTATCTTCTTCTTCTTGCAAATTCTGTCTTCAATCTGTAACAGAAAACTCACTCATGCTAAGGTGTGGTAAAAGTGGGCTGCAATCACCAACAGCATAGCAATGGCCCTTGGATTTCTCTAACTTAGGCACTGCGGCCTGGAACTCTTTTGTCTTTGGAAATTTGGGTTATAATCTAGATTTTTGGCAAGAAGCAGTTGGCTGGAAATCTTGCCTGATGAGATTTTCTCTCTTCTCTGCTCACCCTCTTCATCTGCGAAGAAAGGACACTCCATACTCACCCAGCTCTGAGAAGCAAGTCAAGTTTGCTCTTGTTTCCTGTTTAACTTTTTCCTCTGAAAGCTAGCTAGGAATGTTTGGATACACTCTGCCATGTTGCTGGCCATTTTCTGGAAACTGCACCTGTTTCATTGGGAGTGAAACATCTGACTTTATTGTGGCCAGCTTAGGTTGTAGTAAGGACCCTCAGTCCTAACCTCCTGCTAGTATCTGCCCTGAGTCACAGAAGCACCCGGGATGCTGAGTGACCAGGGACTCTGAAACTGCTCCAATTGTCTTTCTAAGAATATTTTGCTTTACTTTAGTGTGTTCTAGGCTTTAGGAAGAAAAACAGATACTCTATTGCCACTAGCAAGATAGGAATCCAGGGATGACAAGGAATGCAGCCCCACAGCAATGATTCTACCAAGGAATTCTGTCCTCAAGTCTTCCAGTACATTAACTGTTTGAGATCTGACACAAAAACAAGGGCCTACAAGAGGTTAGAAATTCTGTGAGTTCCTGAGTGCCTTGGACTATAGAATCATGACCTGGACAACTCTTCTATCTTGTATTAGTCAGGGTTCTCTATAGGGACAGAACTAATAGGATATATGTATACATGAAGCGTAGTTTATTAAGGAGTATTGACTCACACGATCACAAGGTGAAGTCCCAAAATAGGCTATCCCCAAGCTGAGGAGCAGGGAAGCCAGTCTGAGTCCCCAAATCTCAAAAGTAGGGAAGCCGACAATGTAGCCTTCAGTCTGTGGTCGAAGACCTGAGAGCCTCTGGCAAACCACTGGTGTAAGTTCAAGAGTCCAAAAGCTGAAGAACTTGGAGTCTGATGTTCGAGGGCTGGAAGCATCCATCATGGGAGAAAGATGGAGGCCAGAAGACTCAGCCAGTCTAGTCCTTCCACATTCTTCTGCATGCTTTATCCTCACCATGCTGGCAGCAGATTGGATGGTGCCTACCCAGACTGAGGGTGGTTCTGCCTCTCTCAGTCCACTGACTCAAATGGTAATTTTCTTTTGTCACCACCCTCACAGACACACCCAGGAACAATACTTTGCATATACATCCATCCTTCAATCCAATTAAGTTGACACTCAATATTAACCATCATATATCTTAAGGGAAAAAGGCTAGAGATCCACATTATTTGTTACCTTCTCTGAGTCAGCTATTGTCTATCTTTATTCTTGTATTTAACTTTCACAACATTGTCCTGTAGTTTTTATTATTTCCATTTTACAGGTGAGAAAAATGAAATTTATTAAAGTTAAAATAATAAATTTAATAAAGTTGAAAAGGACACACAGCCTATGACACTTCCAATATAACATAATGCTTTCCTAGAAAGCCCCCGGTACATCTCATCTGAGCTAACATTCAATTTCCACCCCAGCACTTACTTTGTTGCTTTATAACAATGACTTAATATCTTAACATGATTGGATGGATTAGCCATTGGACAAAACAAAAACAAAAAACCCGAAGACAAAAGAAAAAGTATTTATTGTGTTAGTTTACACCTTAAAACTTTAACTATGGACAGTGGAAGTGGATAGCCCAGTTCCTACCCATATCTAATCCTAGATTTTGACTGGCCTGATTTTATGGACTGAATGTTTGTGTCCCTCCAAAATTCCTGTTTTCTAATCCTCACTCTCACTGTAATGGTATTAGGAGGTGGGGCCTATGGAAGGTAATTAGGTCAATAGGGTAGAATCATGAGAGACCCCAGAGAGGCCTCCTGTCCCCTTTCTGCCACATGAGGACACAGAAAGAAGACAATCAATCAGCTATGAAGCAAGAAGCAGCCCTCACAGGACACCGGATCTGCCAGTGCCTTGATCTTGGACTTCCCAGTCTCCAGAGCTGTACGAAATTAATGTTTGTTGTTTAAGTCACTCGGTGACTGATACTTTGTTATAACAGCCCAGACTGACTAAGATACCTCCTGTCAGGTATAACCCCCTGCCTAGAACCCTAATTTTAGGTACAGAGAGATTTTCCAGTCCACTTAAGTTCATATTTCAAAAATGTTCATTCTTAAAGCAGACAATTCTAAGAATATTATTGTAGAAAATGTTATGTAATTCAATTTTTACTAAAAAGTTTGAGAGCAAATGACTGTTCCTGCTACCAGTCTTCCAAAATAAAATATTGATGTTTAAAACTCTGTATGGTAAGTAAGTAGTGAATGATAACAAAAAAACAAACAGACCAACAACTCTTGGAAATTGAAGTAATAACAACAATGATCATAAGACTATTGTGGTTATAAAGAAGTATATTGCTATAATGTGAATAAAAGGTCTAGAAAATAGCTTAACTGCCCACATTAGCATGTGTATCCTGAGGTAAGAGTTACATCCATTACCATTGTTTTATTTCTTGTGTGTGTTGTGACATAGTTTCTATTTTTAGTGAGTGAAATTCAATAGAGTGCAGAGTTTGAATAAACAGATCCCAAATGAATAGCAGATATAATTGATTATATTAATTATTGTATATTTTTAAAATCAAAGTGGCATTATAATTTAAAGCTATGGAAGAAATTTCAGTTGAAAGACTAGTAAAGGAAAAGTAAGTTATATCTGCTATTTTTATTTCTCCACATAGAGTATTTCTGTTTACTAATACAGTTTTCACCTATTTGTCCAGCATTATTTGGCAAAGAGATTATTTAGGTATGTTAAAATATTTTCAGTAACTAAAATTTTGGCATTTAATACAATATTAACAGTTTTTATGAAAGTAATTCCAACATTTATTGTACATATGTCTATATTTTTAATCAATGTTGTGAGAGGTCTTTATCTCCATTTTAAATATGGACAATTCACAGGGCTACTATCATGGGCTACTGAAAGATGTTGGACTACTTCCCTTTGACCACCTATTCTCAGATTCTTCGGGATTTAAGTATCTTCTCTGAATCATACCTTTGATGTCCAGTGTACCTGTTGCTGTCTGTTAGTGTTCTGTCTTTTAGTTTGCTTTATCCATATCTAGCTTATTGAATGAAGTGTGTTGACTTCATGGCAGTCAAATGGCTCGGCAGACCTTCTCCTTTATGTAGAATGCATGCGTTCCAGATATATGGCATTGCTGTAAGTTTGACCCACTCAGTAGTCATACATTACTATACTTCTTAATGGTTACATTCACTAAATTATACTAATGCCATATAACAAAATGCATGTCAGCCACATTCTTTGGCCATACTTGAAAACTTGGAGTCATTCTTGACTCATCTCTCCTGTTCATATTCTTGCCATTTTTTAAAGAATGAAATGATACTCATATTCATTCTTTCTGCTGCCATAATACTTATTCAAGATTCTGCCAGCTCCATTTATGAATGGACAGAGTTTCTGTCTTCAATGGCCTTTCACAATCTGTCCCTAATAGCTACCCATGACAGTCACCACCATTTTCTTTTCCTGTGGACTCTGTGCTAAACACAACAGAAAACCTTCAATTTCCCAGTCTGTCATGTGTGTTGATAATGCATTAGCTCCAGGTGTCACCTCTGCCTGTGTCCTGAATGGAAAGCAATAAAGACACATCTAAGCCTCACTTTGTGATCATATGCTTTAAAATCCTCACCTATTCTTCCTGGGTTTATTATCTTGGTTAATGGTACCTCCATCCATCAACCTCCAACTCTGGATATTCAATAACCCTCATATCAAAGCCCTACTCATGCCTTTTCACATTCATGTAATCTTGTCATTTTTAATGCAGAATTCTAGGTACTGTTCCTTTTATCCATCCCATCACTGTTTCTACTCCTTAGGTTATTATAAGTCTTCCTAACTTGCTCCAGAGCTGTGTTTCTAGGCTTACCATGAGAAATCCCTTCCTAAAAAGCAATCTGATCATGCCACTCTGCATGTAAATATTTTTGTTGTCTCCTCTTGTGCATAGAATAAAGCATAAACTTGTTAGAAGGGTATTATAAGGCCTTCAAATTTTACCTAGTCTCCAATTCCTCTCTGGCCATTCCCCAAAGCAAATATCTGCTGAGCTGACACGTTTTTCTTATATGGCTCCCCAGAATATGGCAAGCCTTGCCACAACATCATGCATTTCTACATGCAAATATTTATGCCACCATTGCTCTCTTCCCCACATGGAAAACTCCATTCATCTATCAAAACCTGCATAAAACGTCACCTGCTCATGAAGCGCTTTGAGACTCCCATAGCAGAAGTGATCACTTCCTCCTCAGTGCCTGATGTGTTTTGGCTGTGTCTCCACCCAAATCTCATCTTGAATTGTAGTTCCCATAATTCCCACGTGTTGTGTGAGGGATCTGGTGGGAAATAATTGAATCATAGAGGCAGTATCCCCCATACTGTTCTCATGGTAGTGAATAAGTCTCACAGGATCTGATGGTTTTATAAGGGGAAACCCCTTTCACTTGGTTCTCATTCTCTCTTGTCTGCCGCCATGTAAGACATGGCTTTTGCCTTCTGACATGATTGTGAGGCCTTCCCAGCCATGTGGAACTGTGAGAACATTAAACCACTTTTTCTTTATAAATTACCCAGTCTCAGATATGTCTTTATCAGCAGCATGAAAATGGACTAATACAGTGCCCCAGTAATAGTCTGTGCACACTCTTGTTAAAGTATTTACCCCATGATGGCATTGATATTTGATTCTGTGCCCTTCTGTCCTATGTGACTTTGTTAGAGTGAAGTATGTTATTCATTTCTGTTTCTAAGCAATTGTAAATGCTTGAGGGTATGAGGTGCCTGCTCACTGAAAGTTCATTATGGTGTAAACAGTGCTCATTACTGCATGACCCATAGGTTGCTTAAGAGAGAGAAAGGTTTCCTCCACAAAACTGCACCCAACAAAATTGCATTTTCTTTGGATCTGTGCATGGTCTGTGAGGAGTGGGAGCAGGAAGACCCAGCCCAGCTGTTTTAAGAGCCTCCACCTCATGGCCCATGTGTTCACATCTGCAGGAGGAACATGGTGTGTGCTGTTCACTCTCCTCCCTGGGCAGTCAATCTAGGTGAGCAGCATTTCTATACTTTCATTCATGCATTATGGCCAAGGATAAAAGACTTATTGAAAAATCAAAACAACTGGTTTTGCTCACGTAGGGTCTTTTGTTTGTGGTTTGCAAGTCAAACACTCTTTTTCTCAAGCTTCAGATAGGAATGGTCCCCAGGAAAAATATCATCTTTCTTTTTCTACCATCAGCACACTTGCTAGTGTAATATAAGTGTGATTGTTGTAGCAACAATTTTGAGACTGTCAGAAAGCAGATGAGTCTCTCTGTGTGAATTTCAGACCTTGATCCATACATCCTCCAGAATAAACACAGATAGAAAAACCAAGGGACATTAGTATGCTCAGCAGGCAAACATCAATTTCTGTGCTGAAGGGCTCACTGCAGAATGATACCATTTCTCAGGAACACAAATAGCATATGTTCTAGGCAGAGGCCACAGATGCAAAGCTAATATCTCTGGATGTACTAACCTGTGGAACATGAGTGGGGAATGAAAGAACCCCATTAGTGCCTGTGCCTGCTGGGGAAAGAGCAGACCAGAGCCCCTGAGAACTCCTGTGGATTAGGCATTTCATAGGATGAACACAGCATCCAGGCTCAGGGACAAATTCCACAGAGAAGTTTGACAAAGCATGGATATGATGCTCACTGCTGTCTTGGGGGTCTATTTCTGTAAAACAAGCCGTACTGAGCCCACTGCCCTCCTTCAAAACATTCCTCTGTCCAATGACCCCCAGTGAGGTGGCTGCAGAATAGATGAGGTCATGTCTCATTAGTAATTAAAGTCTTACATCACATTAAATAGCCACTATGTACTTTAGTATTAATAATCGTTCTAGTAATAATCATACTATACTAAAAATAGTACTAGTAATAGTTATCAGTAATAGAAACATACCAGTTGGCATTGCTATGGTGCCATACAGTTTTGTTTAGTATTTTTACATGTAAAATCTCATTATGACTCTCAAAAACATGTCAGCATCATGTTTTTTTCTCATCCCCATTTTAAAAGTAAGGAGACTGATACATTGAAGCACTTAATTGCCTAAGAGTACTGCTATTGCAGGGCTGAATTGGGTCCTGAAACTAGTTACCATGATTGTCTGTCTCATGGTCCTCCTGCAGTTCACACATGAACTAACCTACTGAAATATTTGATAGCCAGTACATTGCATTAGGCTAGTCTTTCATTGCTTTCAAAAAATTCCTGAGACTGAATAATTCAATAAAGAAAAAAGGTTTAATTGGCTCATGGTTCTGCAGGCTGCAGAAACATGGTGTTGCTATCTGCTTAGCTTCTGGGGCGGCCTCAGGGAGCTTTTACTCATGGCAGAAAGTGAAGCAGGAGCAGGCACTTCGCTTGTCTTAAGCAGGAGCAAGGGGGTGGGCAGGAGCCACACACTTTCAGGAAACCAGATCTCCTGAGAATTTACTCACTATCTCAAGGACAGCACCAAGCCATGAGGGATCTATTCCCATTACCCAAACACCTCCCACCAAGCCCAAGCCCAACATTGCAAATTCAACATGAGAATTTGTAGGGCACATATTCCAACTATATAATTCTGTCCATGGTCCCTCCAAACCTCATGCATGTCCTTCTCATATTGCAAAATACAATCATACTTTCCCAACAGTCCCTCAAAGTCTTAAGTTGCTCCAGCATAAACTCAAAAGTTCTAAGTCCCAAGTTCAAATCCAAAGTCTTATCTGGAGATGAGTTTATTCTACCTACAAGCCTGTAAAATCAAAACAAGTTACTTACCTCGAAGACATAATGGAGGTACCAACATTGGCTACAAATTCCCATTTCAAAAGTCAGAAATTGGCCAGAAGGAAGAGGCTACAGGCCTCACACAATTCTGAAACCTAAAGCTTCATAGTAGTCTCCTTTGACTTCATGTCCCACATCTTGGGCACACTGGTGCAAAGAATAGGCTCCCAAGGCCTCGAGCAGCTCCACCCCTACGTCTTCGCAGGGTTCAGCACCATGACTGCTCTCACAGGTCATTGACTGCACGCAACTTTTCCAGGTAGGTGCTGGCTGAAACCTGCCAGTGGAGCTTCCATTCTGGGTTCTGGAGGATGATGTCCTCCTTTCCACAGCTCCACTAGATGGTGCCCCAGTGGAAACTCTGTGTGAGGACTCCAACCTCATAGTTCCCCTCCACACTATCTTAGCAAAGGTACTCTGTGAGGGTTTCACCTCTGTGGCAGGCTTCTGCCTGAGCACTCAGGCTTTCTCATACATCCTCTGAAATCTGGGTGCAGTTGGTGAAGCCTTCACTCTTGCACTCTTTGCGCTCACAAGCTTAATACCACATGGAAGCTACCAAGGCTTTTGGCTTGCATTCTTCAAAGTGGCAGCTCAAACTCTACCTGGGTCCCTTTGAGCCCTGGTAGGAGGTGGAGCAGCCAGGATGTGGGGAGCAGTGTTCCAACATTGTTCAGGGCAGCAGGGCTTGGCCCAGGAAACCATTCTTCCTTCCTAGGCCTCTGGGCCTATGATGGAAGGGTCTGTGGTGAAGGTCTCTGAAATGCCTTTGAGGCCTTTTTCCCATTATCTTGGATATTAGTACTCGACTCCCCTTTAATTATGTAAAATCTCTAGTACGTGGTTGCTCCGCAGCCTGCTTGAATCCCTCTCTTGAAAAAGCTTTGTCCTTCATTGCCACATGTCTAGCCTGCAAATTTTTCAAACTTTTATGCTCTGCTTTCTGTTTAAATATAAGTTCCAAAGGTAAATCATTTATTTGCTCCTGCATCTGAGTATAGGTTGTTAGAAAGAGCCAGGCCACATCTTGAATGTTTTCATGCTTAGAAATTATGTCCACCAGATATTCTGGGTCATTACTCTCAAGTTCAAACCTCATCAACCTGAATATCACTATCCATATTACTATTTGCATTTTAGTCACAATCATTTAACCAGTCTTTAAGAAGTGGCAGACATTCTCTTATCTTCCTATCTTCATCTGAGCCCTCCAAACTCTTTCAAACTCTGCTTGTTACCCAGTTCCAAAGCTGATTCCATATTTTCATGTATCTTTATAGCAATGCCTTGGTACCAGTTTTCTGTGTTAGGCTGTTCTTGCATTGCTATAAAGAAATACATGAGATTGGGTAATTCATAAGGAAAAGAATTTTGATTGCCTCACGTTTCTGCTGGCTATAAAAGCATGGCACCACCATCTGCTTGGATTCTGGGGAGATCTCAGAGTACTTTTACTCATGGAAGAATGTGAAGCAGGAGCAGATACCTCACATAGTAAAAGCAGGAGCAAGAGGGTAGGAGGAGCCACAGAGTTTTAAGCAACCAGATCTTGTGGGAACAATAACTCACTCACTTTCTCAAGGACAGCACCAAGCCATGAGGAATCCACCCCCATGACCCAAACACTTCCCAACAGGCCCCACATCCAACATTGGGGATTACAAATCAACATAGATTTGGAGGGGACATATTCTAACTATATTATATATCAAGGCAAAATCCTTATCTGAAAGCAGAAAATGTATGGGAAGTTTGTTAGAAACAAATTTTCGGTGCTGTAAAAGAAATAGCACTGTAACATAAATTTTCTCATTAAGACAATTTTACTTTTATAGAAGGGTTGTCTCACAGATGGAGCAATGGCAAGAGCACAGGAAACAAAGGAAAGAAGGGGTTTTTATCTTTAACTCATAGACCCTATCTCTGTGTCACTCCCCCATGGGCTGGGATCAGACTGCACAAACTAAACTGACCTGATTGGCTACTTGTGAATATTTTTTCCCAAATAAGGAAGGGGCAAGGGGAAGGTGAGTTACAGTGGTGTGACATGCAGTCTCAAAGGGTTGACATGTGGTTTTGAAGGGTGGAATGGGTACAGAGTGAGTAACCAAGGAAACAGATGTGAGTTATTGATTAACATTGATGGGAAGGTTATTTACAGTAACCGAGGCAAGGAGACATGGAGAATCAGAAAGTAAGGTTTGAGAACAAAGAACAAGAAAGCTAACAGGCTGAACTTTGAAGAGAAACACAAAGAAATTTATTGTATCTTTCAATTTTCATCTCAAATGCTTCCAACATGGTGCTGGATTTCCATCTCCAAGTCTATATTTACATTTTTAGACTTTCCAGTAAACCCCTGCATTTCCTGTGATTACATTCATTTTGTTGCTGTCCTGGAGGCTAAGATGACATAGCAAAAAGTACTCTCTGTTCCTTCTTAATGAGCCAACTTCTGAAAGCAAAATGAGGCAGACACATTTAGGGTGGAAAACACATTCTTGAAGACAATATTTTGCTAATTATGTGCAGTAGAGGGTCAATTTTCTGAATTTGAACTGCAAGAGAGAAACTTACCCTTTAATTATGGAAATGTTCCAGGGTGAGAGAAATGAAGGAGCTGGCACTATGCTACTCTCTAACACTAGCCTAGACAAAATGCCCAAGCTCCATAAGGGTCAGTCTGCAGAGATCTTGTCTTCCCATAGAAATTCTATCTTGTCTTCCAAGCACAGTCTAAGTGCCTTGGTTTGATTCCAGATTTTGATACTTTCAAAGTCTGTAACTGTGATGGTTAATACTGATTGTCAACTTGATTGGATTGAAGAATGCAAAGTATTGACCCTGGGTGTGTCTGTGAGGGTGTTGCCCAAGGAGATTAGTATTTGAGTCAGTGAGCTGGGAAAGGCAGACCCACTTTTAATCTGGGCGGGCACAGTCTAATCAGCTGCCAGCACAGCCAGAATAAGAAAGGCAGGCAGAAGAATGTGAAAAGACTAGACTGGCCTCCCAGCCTCCATCTTTCTCCCATGCTAGATGCTTCCTGTCCTCGAATATCTGACTCCAAGTTCTTCAGCTTTGGGACTCAGACTGGCTTCCTTGCTCCTCAGCTTGCAGACAGCCTATTGTGAGACCTTGTGATTGTGGGAGTATATATATTGTGTGAAATATATATATTTCCTATTAGTTCTGTCCCTCTAGAGGACCCTAAATAGATATTGGTACCAGTAGAGTGGGTCACTGCTGTAGATACCCAAAAAATGTGGAAACAACTTTAGAACTGGGTAATGGGCAGGGTCTGGAACAGTTTGGAGAGCTCAGAAAAAGACAGGAAAATGTGGGAAAGTTTGGAACTTCCTAGACACTCGTTGAGTGGCTTTGCCCAAAATGCTGATAGTGATATGGACAATAATGTCCAGGCTGAGGTGGTCTCAGATGGAAATGAGGAGCTTGTTGGGAGCTGGAGCAAAGGTGACTCTTGTTATGTTTTAGCAAAGAGACTGGTGGCATTTTGCCTCTGCCCTACAGATTTGTGGAACTTTGAACTTGAGAGAGATAATTTAGGGTATCTGGCAGAAGAAATTCCTTTTTTGTTGTTTGTTTGTATGAGACAAAGTCTCGCTCTGTTGCCAGGCTGGAGTGCAGTGGTGCAATCTTGGCTCACTACAACGTCTGACTCCCTGGTTCAAGTGATTCTCCTGCTTCAGCCTCCTGAGTAGCTGGGATTACAGGCACATGCCACCACACCCAGCCAATTTTTGTATTTTTAGTAGAGATGAAGTTTCACCATGTTGGCCAGGATGGTCTCAATCTCCTGACCTCGTGATCTGCCCATCTGGCAGAAGAAATTTCTAAGCAGCAAAGCATTCAAGATGTGATTTGGATGCTGTTAAAGGCATTTAATGTTATAAGAGAAGCAGAGTGTAAAATTTTGGAAAATTTGCAGCCTGACAATGCAATAGAAAAGAAAATTCCATTTTCTACGGAGCAATTCAAGCCAGCTGCATAAATGTGCATAATTAATGAAGAGTCAATGTTAATTACGAAGATAATGGGGGAAAATGTCTCCATGGCTTGTCAGAGATCTTGGCAGCATCCCCTCCCATCACAGGCCTGGAGGTTTTGGAGGAAAAAATGGTTTCATGGGCTGGGCCCAGGTTCCCTCTGCTGTGTACAGTCTAATGACTTGGTGTCCTGCATCCCAGCCACTCCAGTCGTGACTAAAAGAGGTCAAGGTACATCTCAGGCTGTTGCTTCAGAGGGTGGAAGCCCCAAGCCTTGGCAGCTTCCACATGGTGTTGAGCCTGCAGGTGCACAGTAGTCAAGAATTGAGGTTTGGAAACCTCTGCCTAGATTTCAGAGGAGGTATGGAAATGCCTGGATTCCCAGGCAGAAGTTTGCTGCAGGGGCAGAGCCCTCATGGAGAACCTCTGCTAGGGCAGTGCAGAAGGGAAATTTGGGGTCAGAGCCCCCACACACAGTCCCTAGTGGTGTACTGCTTAGTGAAGCTGTGAGAAGAGGGCCACCATCCTCCAGACCTTAGAATGGTAGATCCACTGACAAGTTGTACAGTGCACCTGGAAAAGTTGCAGATATTCAGCACCAGCCCATGAAAGCAGCCAGGAGAGGGGCTATATCCTGCAAAGCCACAGGGAAGGAGCTGCCCAAGACCATGGGAACCCACCTCTTGCATAAGGTGACCTAAATGTGAGACATGTAGTCAGAGGAGATCATTTTGAAGCTTTAAGATTTGACTGTTTTGCTGGATTTTGTCTTGCATGGGGCTTGTGGCCTCTTTGTTTTGGCCAATTTCTCTCACTTGGAATGGCTGTATTTACCCAATGCCTATATCTGCATTCTATTTAGGAAGTAACTAACTTGCTTTTGATTTTACAGGCTCATAGGTGGAAGGGACTTTCCTTGTCTTCAATGAGACTTTGGACTGTGGACTTTTGGGTTAATGTTGAAATATTTTAAGACTTTGGGGGACTGTTGTTGTATTAGTCAGTGTTCTCTAGAGGTACAGAATCAATGGAATATATATATATATATACAAATATGGGAGTTTATTAACTCATATGATCACAAGGTCCTACAATAGGCTGTCTACAGGCTGAGGTGCAAGGAGAGCCAGTCCAAGTTCCAAAATGGAAGAACTTGGAATCTGATGTTCTAGGGCAGAAAGCATCCAGCATGGGAAAAAGATGTAGGTTGGGAGGCTGGGCCAGTCTTTCTTTTCACATTTTTCTGTCTACTTATATTCTAGCTGTGCTGGCAGCTGATTACATTTTGCCCACCTAGATAAAGGGTGAGTCTGCCTTTCCCAGCCCATTGACTCAAATGTTAATCTCCTTGGCAACACCCTCATAGACACACCCAGGATCAATGCTTTTTATCCTTCAAGCCAATCAAATTGACGCTCAATATTAACCATCACAGGTCCACTCCTGTCCATTTCAACCCATACACATCTTCGAAGATCATACATAATCTTCAAGTAAAGAGAGTAATAAGGTCATAATTATGCCTAACATAATACAACTGTCTTTCGTACAACCAGAAATGCAGCAATCCTCAACCCAAATAGTATTACATAAAGTTAACAATACCTAAATGCTGATGTGAAGTCAATAAATCTTATGTCACATGATAACAAAGAAAGACAATAAAATGAAGATATTTTCTTAGTACAAGTATATATATGCACAAATACATTTTTTAACAAAAGAAGGAGGAAATACTCATGACAATTACAGTCCTCATTTTTGCAGCTGGTCACATGGTTATAGCTGGAATTGATGACTACCTTCTTCTACTACTCATTCTGTATTCCCTTTGCCTTCAGCAAGCACCTCAGCAGGTTGTGTGGTTTTTTTTTTTTTTGTTTGTTTGTTTGTTTGTTTTTTGTTTTTTCCTCACGGAGTGTCCCAAACCTTCATTTCTGAAGGTTCTGCATCATTTGTAGTCCTGCCTGGATTGGGCTGTTGTAGTTTCTCATTGACCTTAATCACAGGGCATGGTGATACTAAGAGACACCCTAATGGACCTCCTGTATTCCATGCATATTTGTCCTTACCTGAATAAGGAGGTAGTATACTGATTTCATCTTGATAGTTCTGGTCAGTCACCCCAGCCAACACTGTAACTCCTTCTTAGCCTGTAAACTTAAATGTAGGAGGAACCCAAAGTGTCTAGGTGGCAATCTTAACTTCCAATTTAATGGAATTGTTGTTGTGTCTCCTGGTGGCAGCGTTCCTCCCTCTGGAACTAAGACCTCTAGGAGAGCAGAATGTAATGTCATGGGAACAGGAAACAAAAATTTTGCTAGTGGATCATGGGGTGATGGTAAGTGGTGCCACTTCTACTTCCATCCCTTGATTCCTGGACCCATGAATACTTGCTATGGGAGAAAGAGTACCATATGCTGGATGCTGATGCAGAGCATACACAGCCTTCTGGAGAACTTTGCCCCAGCCCTGCAAAGTATTGTCACCTTGTTGGCATTGTAATTGTGACTTCAAAAGGCCATTCCACAATTCTATCAATCCAGCTGCCTCAGGATAATGGGGAACATGGTAAGACAATGAATTCCGTGAGCATGAGCCCACTGCCACTCTTCTTTAGCCATAAAATGAGTGCCTTTGTCAGAGACAATGCTGTGTGGAATACCATGACAGTGGATAAGGCATTTCAAGAGTCCACGGGTGGTAGTCTTGGCAGAAGCATTGCATGCAGGACAGGCAAACCCATATGTGAAGAAAGTATCCATTCCAGTGAGGACAAACCTCTGCCCTTCCCATGATGGAAGAGGTCCAATATAATGAGCCTGCCCCCAGGTAGCTGGCTTATCACCCCAAAGAATGGTGCCATATTGAGGGCTCAGTACTGGTCTCTGCCGCTGGAAAACTGGGCACTCAGCAGAGGCCATAGTGGGTCTGCTTTGGTGGGTGGAAGTACATGTTGCAGAGCCCATGGGCAACCTCCATCCTTCCCACCATGGCCACTTTGTTAATGGGCCCATTGGACAGTGACAGGGGTGGCTTGGGAAAGAGGCTGAGTAATGTCCACAGAATGGGTCATCCTATCCACTTGATTATTAAAATCCTCCTCTACTGAGGTCACCCTGTTGGTGAGCACTCACATGGGATACAAATATCTTCACAGTTTTTGGCCACTCAGAGAGGTCCATCCACATACCTCTCCCCCACATTTATTTGTCACCAATTTTCCAATCATGCTTCTTCCAAGTCCTTGACCATCCAGCCAAACAATTGGCTACAGCCCATGAATCAGTATATAATCACACATCTGGCCATTTTTCCTTCCAGGCAAATTGCACAACCAGATATACTGCTCGAAGTTCTGCCCACTGGGATGATTTCCCTTCACCACTATCCTTCGGGGATGTCCTAGAAAGAGGCTGTAGTGATGCAGCTGTCCACTTTTGAATGGTGCCTGCATATTGTGCACAGAACCATCTATTAAATAGGTCCTAGTCTTCTCTCCCTCTGTCATGGGAAACTTTCCATGAGTCCATCAGTGCAGGTTGTTGGAGAGAAGGCAGGGTGGCCAGAGTGGAGACCATGGACATCGAGCCACTTCCTCATGTAACTTCCTTGTACTTTCAGGACCTGCTCGAGCCTGATCACATATACACCACTTCCATTAGATGATGGAATGCTGCTGTGCATGACCCACTTTATGGCTAGATGGGTCAGAAGGCACTCAGTTCATGATAGGCAGTTCAGGTAGCATGGTGACTTGATGGCTCATAGTCAAACATTCAGTTTCCAGCGGAGCCCAGTAACAAGTCAAGAGCTTTCTCTCAAAAGGAGAATAATCTGCAGAAAATGGCAGGGCTTTGCTCCAAAATCCTAGAGGCCTCCACTGTGATTCACCTATGGGGTCCTGCCAAATGCTCCAAACAGCATCCCTATCTGCCATTGACACCTCAAGCACCATTGGATCTGCTGGGTCATATGGCCCAAGTGGCAGAGCAGCAGAACAGCTGCCTGGACCTGTTGCAGAGCCTTCTGTTCTGGACCCCATTCAAAACTGGCAGCTGTTCAGGTCGCTCAATAAATGGGCCAGAGTAACACTCCCAAATGAGGAATGTGTTACATCCAAAAATCCAAATAGGCCCACTAAGCATTGTGGCTCTTTCGTGGTTGTAAGATGGGTCAAATGCAGCAACTTATCTTTCACTTTAGAAGGAATATCTCAACAGGCCCCACTTCACTGAACCCCTAGAAACTTTACTGAGTTAGAAGGTCCCTGAATTTTAGTTGGATTTATTTCCCATCCTCTGCCATGCAAATGTCTCACCAACAAGTCCAGTTTGTTTGCTACTTTTTGCTCACTGGATTCAATCAGCATAATGTCATCTGTATAATGGACCAGTGTGATATCTGGCAGAAGAGGAAAGCAATCAAGGTCTCTCCAAATAAGATTGTGACACAAAGCTGGAGAGTTATATACTCCTGAGGTAACACAGTAAAGGTATAGTGCTGGCCTTGCCAGCTGAAGGCAAATGGCTTCTGGTGGGCCTTATGGACAGGAATGGAGATCAATGGCTTCATACCAGGTACCAGAAGATGTGTTAATTTGCTCAAGCAATGAAAGCACTCTGGTACAGCAACTGCAATTGGAGTCACCACTTGGTTAAGCTTACAATAACCCACTGTCATTCTCCAAGATCCATCTATCTTCTGCACAGGTCAAATGGGAGAGTTGAATGGGGATGTGGTGGGAATCAACACCCCCATGTGTTTCAAGTCCTTGATGGTGGCACTAATCTCAGCAATCCCTCCAGGGATGTGATATTGTTTTTGATTTATTATTTTTCTAGGTAGAGGCAGCTCTAATGGCCTCCATTTGGCCTTTCCCACCATAATATCCCTCACCCTACCAGTCAGGGAGCCAATGTGGGGTTTCTGCCAGCTGCTAAGTATTTCTATGCCCGTTATACATTCTGGCACTGCATAAATAACTACAGGATGAGTCTGGGGACCCACTGGACCCACTAGAAGTTGGACCTGAGCTAAAACTCCATTAATTCACTGACCTCAATAAGCCACTACTTTAAGTGGCAGACCACAATGACGGTTTGTGTACCCTGGAATCAACATCAGCTCAGAGACAGTATCCATTGGTCCCCAAAATGTCTGATCATTTTCCTTTCCCCAATGCACAGTTACCCTGATAAAAGGCCAGAGCTTTCCTTGGGGAAGGATGGGAGAAAGATTTACTGCATAAATTGTCGGTAATATAGTATAGTCCTTCCTCTAGGGGACCTGGCCTCCCCTTCATTCAAGGGGTTCTGGGCTTGTAAACTGACTCATGTCTGGAACTTGATTAAGGGGTCATGATTCTGTTTTTATAATTCAAACTTGTCTTTTGTCAATGCAACCTAGAAGTTTTCTGCTTATATAAATTAAGTAGGAGTGCAGTAGAATTCCTATCAATTTCATTTCTAGGAACACTGTGATTAATTAGTCAATGCAGAGGTCTACACAAGTCAGACTATTCTGATTGCCACTTTGCCTCTACTGTCCATTACAGTAGCTATGCCCACGTTGCCTTTGATGGCTCAGTGCTGCCAGTTGGCCCTTGCCACCTACAATTATTCTTATTGTATTTAAATTTTGTAGTTGAGTGAGTGTCTGTGGTTCCCATGGTTAGATCTGACATACAGAGAAGAGCAATTACAGGGTTCTCCAAAGATGCAGGTGCTGCCCTCACAAGTCTATTTCACAAGGCATTGGTCAAGGGTATAGCTTCTGGACCATCCCAGCTGGAATGAATAGGTCTAAAGTGACTAATCCACTCCACCATCCCAATGTCCCTAAGCCTTTGGATTCCTTCCTCTATATTAAACCAAGGGAGATCAGGCATTTCCAGCTCACTCACAGTGGGCCAACTTTTAATCCAAGTTTCAGCTAACCAAAGCAAATAAACTATTCGAACCTTTTTTACCTCCCTGAGATGCAACATTAAATGCAGGGTCTCTACTTAGTGGGCCCAAATCCATAAATTCAGACTAATTCAATTCTATCTTACTTCTACCATTATCCCACATCCTTAATATCCATTTCCATGCCTATTCTTCAGGTTTCTGCTTATATAAATCAGAAAACTCAAGCAGTTCTTTCTGAGTGTAAGGCACCTCTTCATGGATCACACTCTCAATCTTATGTTTAGGAGCCCACCAATACTTTAGTCTAGTTATAGGTCTAGGAGCAAACAGGGGTGTTGGGGGTTGCTCCTGAGGAGAATCAACATTACCTTGCCTGGCAACGGCCTCAGGGGTGACCATCACTGTTCCCTCAGGCAGTGCAGGGTGTATCTCCTCAAACAAAGCCGAAAGGCTGACGGAAGCGTGGGCCAGGAAGGGGATGTTGCCACTACTGGGGATGGGGAAGCTGTTTCTTCTGTCAAAAGAGGTTCATCAGAGTTTACAAACTCAGTGTCCTCAGCTCCATCAGGGTCCTCCCACATGCCCCTATTCCAAGTTGCAGGGCCCCATTCTTTTCCAATCATTGCCCTCACTTTAACAGTAGACACCTGGAGAGGCTGTGAACGCACCTTTTGTTGCATCAGCCACTCACACAATAAGACATTGTGTCTGTTTTTTCCACAATTTTAGCTCTCTCTCTACAGGAGATAAGACTCTCACTCAGGGCAATCTTAGCAGGTTTGAGGCTCAATATCTGCTTCTGAAGCCAGGAGATAGAATCCTTAAGTTTATCATTTTCTCTCATCACTTTGTCCACTGAACTCAGGAGGAACCAACCAGCTTCGTTATGTTCCTGGGTTCTCCACATATGGTCAAAGGTATTATGTATAGAGTCACTAAACTCCTTGCCTCTCATGACCGATGAATCAGGAGTGTCAAATGCATTTATTTTGCATAACTCTCTAAACAGTTCATGCCAAGTACTATCAGTGTTCATACTCTTAAAAGTAGAGTCCTTAGCATTTTTGGGTCTAATCACATTAAGTGGCCAACTCCAGAAGCCCAAAAACCAATGAAAAAGCTCCATCCTTAATATTCTATTCCTCTAGAACCACTCCTGGTATCAAAATCTGTATCAGTCAGGGTTCTCTAGAGGCACAGAATTATATATATATATATATTCCATATATATAAAGGAGTTTATTAAGTATTAACTCACATGATCACAAGGTCCAATAGGCTGTCTGCAGGCTGAGGAGCAAGGAGAGCCAGTCCAAGTCCCAAACTAAGTAACTTGGAGTCTGATGTTCAAGGGCAGGAAGCATCCAGCACAGGTGCAAGATGTAGGCTGGGAGGCTAGACCAGTCTCTCTTTTCACATTTTTCTGCCTGTTTATATTCTAGCTATATTGGCAGCTGATCTGACTGTGCCTTCCCAGATTTCCGGTGGTTCTGCCTTTTCCAACTCACCAACTCAAATGTTAATCTCTTTTGGCAACACCCTCACAGACACATCCAGGATCAATACTTTGCATCCTTCAATCCAATCAAGTTGACATTCAGTATTAACCATCATAGTTGGGAAGGCATGATTGGTTTTGAAATGTGAGAACACAAGATTTGGGAGGGGCTAGGGGCAGAATGGTATGGTTTGGCTTTGTGTCCCCATCCAAATCTTATCTTGAATTGTAGCTCCCACATATTCCATATGTTGTGGGAGGGACCCGGTGGGAAATGATTGAATCATGGGGGCAGGTCTTTCCTGTGCTGTTTTCATGATAGTGAATGAGTCTCAAGAGATCTGATGGTTTTGTAAGGGGGAGTTTCCCTGTACAAGCTCTCTCTTTGCCTGCTACCATCCATACAAGATGTGAGTTGCTTCTGTTTGCTTTCTGCCATGATTGTGAGGCCTCCCCAGCCATATGAAACTTCTTTCTTTTGTAAATTGCCCAGTCTCCAGGTGTTTCTTTATTAGCAGTGTGAAAACGGACTAATACAGTAGCCTTGTGTAATGAAACTGGCCGTACCATAACTTAATTTTCTAATTTGTAAGACAGAGATATTCACATGTCACATGGAATGCTTAGAATGTGAAATGTGGGGGCATGGGCTCAGCAGAGCCCAGCTGTTGGCATGCCCTTCTGTCCCACTGGCCTCTTCATGGAGGGCATTGTGAGGAACCAGTTGATAAGCTCTTCCTTCCAGGTGATGTTTTTAGGTAAGCCAGGGAGCTATTAGAGGTACACTGTCATCTCTGCCTAGAATAAATAGTCGTGCTGCAAATTTTAAGTCAGAACAGAAGGGATGTAGGCTCTGCCTGGCATAGCATCATTAGCTGGCTGCCTAGTAAACCTGCCCAATTTCCATGAATCTCCACCAGCACTACCCTGATGATGAACTTATTGTGATGGAAGAAAAGGAAGAAAAGAGAAAGAACTGCGTTACTGACAGCACACCATCTGCTTACACATGTCACATGGAGGCTGTGGGGAGGGCTGCAGAGAGAGCTGGCCATGACAGGGTGGTTGTCAACATCAACACAATCAATAACTCTGGTCTGTCTCTTCTCTGCCAAATGTGCCATCCCTCCAAAATCCTTACTGGTTGTAAAATGTCATCATCATCATTAATGAGCGTGAAGTAAATTACTGATAGAAAAGAAAAGTTTAACAAAAGGTAGCATATGACATAATAGTTTCAAATTAAAGGCTGAATATTACTATTTATGAAATCATTTCACAACTGTTTTATGCAACACACTTTCCTGGAATGCCATGTCTTTTAGTGAGAAGGTGGCAAAGGAAAGTGGCCCAGTTGATTGGCTTTGATGTAATTGCCTGGTCCTATAGCACAGAGTCAAAATCCCAGACGCACAATTTAGAAGTTGCATGATACTGAGCAGTTGGCCTACATGAGTGAGGCAAGGCCATAATTTTCTCATCTCTAAACGGAAGTAACAATGCTTGAAGGTACATTGTGAGGATTACTGAATGCATTGCACTTCAAGCTTGAAGGCCTTGCCTGCCACATAGTGATGGGTCAATGTATGTTTAACATTAGTTATTATTTTATTAATATTACACTAGAAATACAAGGTATATCAATGTCTATGTGAATTCCAAATATTAGTCACTGCAAAATTGAAGGTCTGTTTTTTTATATATGACATAACGAAGGGACATTGTTGACTGTTACCATAATGTGGAATAAATATTTAATTTGATACTAAATCATTCAAGCAATGATTTTATAACTAATTTTGTTGCATTTTGAGGATTTATTATGTTTTAAATTTATCTTTACTGTATACTCTGCAATGTATGTTATATTTCAGGATTAAAAACAGATGTGAAAAAAATGTTTTGTAGTATTAGAATCTGCTTAACAGAGAAAGCCACTTGCCATTCAGCCACTTAACTCAAGGTTGAGTGCGGCTTTTATTCATGAAGCATCGGTGGCTGCTGTTTCTGCTGGTATCTTACTCTGCCCTTTAGTGGAGGTGATTTTTAATCCACAGCATATTTAATAGAATTTCCACTTTGTTTTGGGAGTTTGTTGAGTCAAATATACCAGAATCCCAAAGGAAAGAAGAATTCTACATCAACAATATACCAGGCAAATATTAAATATCTGGGGACAACTGACGTATACACAGCTAACTCCTATAGGTTGCTATCAAAGAGTAGCACATGGTTTTTAAACATCTAGTTTCACTATATAATTTATCTCCTGCATGAGAGAGGCAAAACATGTAGCTCAGGATAACCTGCATAACACGCACACACAAAGCACATCATAATATTTAGCTTCAGCTCTCCACCTGAAGTCATGGATTTTCAAATACCCCAGCCAATGGATAACTCCCAGCGAGGAAGAACATACGATTCCACTTTCACCCATCACTGGAGTTCTAATTACTTTGATTTAATGACTGTGGGATTGTATTTTTTTACTGTTTAGACAGATTCCTCACTAATACTTAACAGGCAAGAGACATTAAAATCCTGTTTGGTTTGACAGGAGCAGAGTTTAATGTCAGCTGGACTGAATTTGTTTTTCTAAGTTCTATTTTTTCAAAAATATCTTTGATTTTTGCTTTAACCAGAATTGTTTAGGAAACAAACTCTGTGCTATGTAGGGGGTCCAAATACATTTCTGATTCAATCATCGCATCAACATTTTACACACCACCCAGTTGATAATAAACAATTCACGTCAGACTTCCATCATAAATAGTCAGTGCAATCGATGGATGAACTCCACAACACTGATCAGCAACTATTTCTATTTAGGCAAAGTCTACAGCAAGAGAAAAATGTGTGATCAACCATCGGGATGTACATATTTACAAAATGCTTCTCTTCCAGGAAAATATTTTAATTTTTCTTGTATCACTGTCTGTTCTCTCTTATCTCCCTAAACTTATTTCCAACAAAGCACCTACCTCAGTAAGTTGGACTTAGGTTGTGTATCTTATGGACTGAGAGCATTTGGTGGCCAGTATGTTTCTCACATAGCAAAGCCATGAACAATATCTGATTGATGATTGTCAACTAGAACTACTTCTTGAATAAAATTGCATTTTACTTACTATTTTATTTGTAGAATATACCCATCTACTTTATATATCTGTATTGCAGAGCAAAAAACTTACCTTTGCATTATAAAATATTGAAAAATAAATAGTTTTATTATCTATAAAAATGTATAGCAGCACATATAGGAATGGTTGGCAGTGAAAGATGAATATTTTTAATGACTGAATTGTTTGTAACTAGAACATTCATTATTTTGATTCCCAAGGATAGATATTAATGGATAAGTAGGGTCCAGTTTGTATTAGCCTGCACCATGCTGGATGCAAATGTCATTCAACATTAGCTTTTGCAAAAGAAAGAATTTATTTACTCATGCATCTGAGAAAATGCTAAATGTGGCAGAGAATTTTGTCAGCTTCCCCAAAAGATATCACCCCTCTTCATTACTGATTATAAAAAAATTTTAAAATAGAAGTAGGGAACTTTGATGCCATAGTATAGGTTTTAAAGTCCCTCCAATAGAAGACGTGTAACCCTAGTTCCAACCAATGGCATATGAATTATGTCTATTAGTTTAATTCTAGGAAATAATTTTCTTTGATAATATAGAGTAGGTGAAGAGAAAATCTCAATTCCGTTTAATGCTTCTGATCACAATTCCTTGAGGAAGGAATGCCTGAAGCTGCAGCAGCTCCCTTGCAGCCAAGAAAGAGAGGCCAGATGTCCTGAAATTACTAAAGAAGTGAATTAAGCCTAGAACTGCATATTCCAAGCATTCTTACTACTCAGGAAGATATAATTCTATTTATTTGGGGTCTCTAATGATGTATCCTTATTCATTCTGGAATTTTATAATTTCTTTTCTCTTTTTCCTTGATGTATATCACCTGGGGCTTAGTTGAAATAATCTTTTCAAAGAGCCAATTTTAGCTTTATTTCCTCTATTTTATGTATATATTCTATCCCATTGACTTTTTTGTTTTTTATTATCATTTTCTTCCTTGGATTTTATCTTTTATTTACTTTTTTTCTAGGTTTTTAAGAAACTATGCATAAATTCTTTGAATCTATGTATAGATTTTCACAGATTTTGGATTGTGTTAACTTCCTATTGGATTGACCTCTTTATCACTGTGAAATACACTTTTTTATTCCTATTCATGTTTCTTTGCTTAAAATCTTTTTCCTGATATTAGTAAATCTATTTTTATTTCATATTTCTTTGATAATTATCTATACAGTATATCTTTATGTTCTTTCATTTTTAATTGTTCTGCATTCTTAAAAATATGTTTCTCGGTATCACTTTTTTTTCCATATTTTTCATTTTGGTAAAATACACATGACATAAAATTTACATATAAACCATTTTTAAGTGTAGAGTTCATTGTTATTAATACATTTATAAGACTGTACAATCATCAGCATCATCCACATCCAGAACACTTTTCTTCATGTGAAACTGAAATTTTGGACCCATTGAACACTGACATTACCATAACCCATTCAACATTATCCACTCCCTGCAGCTCCTGGCAACTGCCATTCTACTTTCTGTCTCTATGATTTTGACTTTCTAAGTACCACAAACCAGTGAAATTATACAATATTTGTCATTTTATATTGGCTTATTTAGATTGGCTTATTTCACTTAGCATTATGTCCTCACATTTCATCTGTTTTGTAGCATGTGTCAGAATTTACTTCCTTTTTAAGGCTGAATAATATGCATTGCATGTGGATAGCACATTCTGCTTATCTATTCGTCCCTCAATGGACACTTGGGTTGCTTCCATGTTTTAGTTATTGTGAATATTGCTGCTATAAACATGGGTGTGCAAACATATCATTGAGGCCCTGCTTTCCATCCTTTGGGGTGTATATCCAGAAGTGGAATTGCTGGATCCTATGGTAATTCTATTTTTTTTTTTTTTTTTAGTAACTGCCATACATATTTCACAGGGGTTGCACCATCTTACATTCTCACTATGTGTGCATAAGGCTACTCCAAATCTTTGCCAGCACTCGTTATTTCCTGGGTTTTTGTTGTTGTGGATAGTAGACATTCTAATGATTGTGAAGTAGAATCTCATAGGAGTTTTGATTTGCATTCCCCTGGTGATTAGGAATGCTGAACATCTTTTCATGTGCTTATTAGCCATTTGACTGTCTTGTTTGTGGAAATGTCTATTCAAGAACTTTGCTTGTTTTTAAACCCCTTCAGTGAGGTATTTTCATATATTTATAATACAGTTAAACTGTTTTTGTCACAGGCTACATTCCACACTTGGATGGCCCCAACATCCTAATTTTTCTTAAGTTGTATACATTAATGTTGAATCTTTGCACTATAAAGTTCTATGGGTTTTGACATATGCCTAATGCCATGTAGCCACCATTACAGGTTCATACAGTGAATATTTTCACTGTTCTATAAAATTCCCTGGGCTTCACATATTAATCCTCCCTACCCACTAACCCTTGGCAATTGCTAATCTTTTTATCACCCCTATAGTTTTTCCTTTTTCAGAATGCCTTGGAAATGGAATCATTTATATATACAATCATAAACTAGCTGCTTTCATTTGGCAAAATGCAGATAAGATTCACCCATATCTTTGTGTGCCTTGATAGTATTTTTGTTTATTGCTAAATAGTAGTTTATAGTGAGGGTGTGCCAGAGTTTGTTTATTCATTTGCTTAAGAATATCTTGGTTGCTTCCAGTTTGGAGCAATTATAAAGCTGCTATAAACATTCATGTGCATGGTATTGTGTGAACATAAGTTTTCAAATCAGTTGGTAAATACCTAGGCGTGTGATTGATTGCTGGATTGTATGGCAAGACTATGTTTAGCTTTGTAAAAAGCTGCCGAACTCTCTTCCAAAATGTACCTTTTTGTATTCTCATCCACAATGAATGAGAATTCCTGTTGTTCTGCATCTTTATCAGCAATTGGTGTTGTTTTTTAATTTTAACCAAGCTAATAGATGTGTCTTCTATTACTGTTTTAATTTGTATTTCCCTAATGACAAATAATTTTAGACATAATTTCTTATGCTTGCCATCTGTATACCTTCTTTGTGAGGTGCTCATTCAAATCCTCACCTAATTTATAATTGAGTTTTTGTTCTGAGTTTTTATTAAGTTATTACTGTTTTATTTAGTTTGAATTTTTTTATATATCTTAAAAACATCACCTTTGTCAAATGTGTTTTGCAAATATTTTCTCCAAGCCTTTAATTTGTTTGTTTTTTTCTTGCCTTTTCATTATCTAAACAGTGTCTTTACCTAAACAAAAGTTTTTAATTTTAATAATATCCAGCTCACCAGACACAGTGGGTCACACGTGTAGGCCCAGAACTTTGGGAGGCTGAGGCAGGCGGATTGTTTAAGCCCAGGAGTTCAAGACCAGCCTTGGCAACATGACAAAACCCCATCTCTACAGAAAATACAGAAATTAGCCGAGGGTCATGGTGCAAGCCTGTAGTCCTAGCTGCTTGGGAGGCTGAGACGGAATAATTGCTTGAGCCTGGGAGGTTGAGTTTGCAAAGAATCGTGATCCTGCCACTGCACTCCAGCCTGGGGGATAGAGTGAGACCCTGTCTCAAATAGAAAAAAAAAAAAAAAGAAAAAGAAAAAGAAAAAACTAGCTTATTAATTTTTTATTTAATGTGCATTGATTTTGATGTTATAATGAAGCTCATAACCAAACCCAGTCTTTCATATATTTTCTCCTGTGTTTTCTTCTAGTTTTATAGTCTTGCATTTTACATTAGTTCTATGATCCATGTTGAGTTACATTTGTGTTTAAAGTTTAAGTTTTGTGTCTAGGTTCAACTTTTTATTCACATAAGCATTGAAATGTACCAGAACCATTCACTAAAACAAAAACAAAAACAAAAACAAAACCCTAGACTTTCTCAATTGAAATGTCTTTGTGCTTTTGTGAAAAATCACCAATTTATTTATGTGGATTTTTGCTGGACTATGTGTGTATTTCTTCACCAATACCCCACTATCTTCGTTACTATGGCATTCCAATGTCTTTAAATAGGGTGGTGAAATCCCCTAAATTGCTATTCTTCAGTATGTGTGGATTGTTCCAGGTCCTTGCCTATCAATTTGTTGACATCTAGAAAATAGCTTGCTGAATTTTGATTGGGATTTCATAGACACTATAGTTCAATTTGGGAAATAGTGACATCTTAACCATATTGAAAATTCCAATCCATGAACACAGGATATCTTCTATTTAGATATTCTTTGATTTATTTCATTAATGAGTTGTAGTTTTATGAGTACTGTTCTTGCATATATTTTGTTATATTTATACTCAAGTATTTCATTTTCCGGTGCTACTGCAAATGGCACCAAATTTTTAAGTTTCAAATTCAAATTGGTCATTTCCAATATATAGGAAAGCAATAGACTTTTGTATATTTGCAGGCACTAGTGCTGAGACAAGATATTTTGTCCTTATTTCTGATTTTAGTGAGAAACTATCTAGTCCCTCATCATTAAGTATGACGTTGAATATAGGTTTTGTAGTTCTTCAAGTTCCCTTTTATTATTCATTTTCTGAGAATTTTTAATGATAAATAGGTGTTTGATTTTCTCAAATTATTTTTACTATCAATTGAAATGATTACATGATTTTTCTTCTTCATCCTATTAATATGGTGAATTCCATTGATTTTTTTTTTACTGTTGAGCCATCTTTGTATACCTTTGTATACCAAATCTTGCTTGGTAGTGCTATATAATTATTTTTATATGTTGTTGAATTTGGTTTGTTAATATTTTGTTGAGGGTTTTTGCAGCAATATTCATAAAAGTCATTTTGTCTGCAGTTTTCTTTTAATGCCTTTATCTGATTTGGGTATTAGCATAATGCTGGCCTTATAGAGTGACTTAGGACATGTTTTCTTTGTGATTTTCAAAAGAAAAGATTGTAGAGTCCTGGTTAATAATTAATGAGAATGTTTTTCTGTAATTAGAAAAATTAGAATTTGGATATAATAGATCAATAGTGGGGCTGGGCGCAGTGGCTCACACCTGTAATCTCAACACTTTGGGAGGCCAAGCTGGGCAGATCAAGAGGTCAGGAGATGGAGGCCATCCTGGCTAACACGGTGAAACCCCATCTCTACTAAAAATACAAAAATTAGCCAGGCGTGGTGGCAGGTGCCTGTAGTCCCAGCTACTCAGGAGGCTGAGGCAGGAGAATGGCGTGAACCTGGGAGGCGGAGCTTGCAGTGAGCCCAGATCGTGCCACGGCACTCCAGCCTGGGCAACAGAGCAAGACTCTGTCTCAAAAATAAAATGAAATAAAATGAAATAAAAATAAAAAATAAATAAATAATAGATCAGTGGTTCTCAAATTTCACTTGATAGTGAATTAGATGGGAAGATTTAAAAAACATACCATCCTCCATCTCAGAGGGAACTAATCCAAATTTCTGGAGTGGATGCTAGGAATTAATATATTTTAAAGTAACATCTCAAATCATCCAATATGAAGACAAAGTTAGATATTCATTTTTAAAGGCTGAACTGATTGTTCTTTAAATCTTAACCACCAACAGGACACATTCTATGACTTAAAAAATTCCCAGTGAGAAATCTAGGAAATACCAGGAATGAGTAGATGGTTAGTGATATTGCCTTCACTAGGGAAGACATCTTTGGTATTTTTCGATTTATATCTTCAACTGGAAAATATTTCTACATTTCTATTTGTTCTTTGGAAGAGAATTTCATTCTGGTGGGAAGACAGTTCCTTACAGACGGCATTTCTCTTAGTCCCAGAGAGGGTGGGGAGAAGGAGAGAGGCAAACATGCAAGGCCTTTTCACCGGCAAGGCTTTGTGCAGGCTTCAGGCAGTTTCCTCCTGAGCTGGAGAAGTGGAGGAGGCAGGAGAAAGGGTGAGTCATCCATGCCTCACTGGAGCTGAATTCACCTGGGTTATGAAAAGTGGCCTTGCCTTAACAAAAGAACATCCTCTGTAGGCTGATCGCCCCTAGGGATAGCTCACTTGGACTTCTGGTGCATTGAAGGACCTTGTCAGGAATCATTCACACTGATCACATTGTACCAGGCCTCTCAGTCTTCTATTTCTAGCTGCACCTTCTCCCTGACATTCCTCCTACATATTCACAAGGCAAACTCTCTGTTGAGTGACAGGAGGTGCTCCACATCCCTCAGAACCCAGGCAAGCTGCGCTGGAAGAGCCTTTTGTCCGCTTTCAGCTGTTCATCCAGCAGCACTTGCCAACCAGATGATACAACAAATGCTCAGATTGTTAGTGACTGAGTGTAAATTGTATTTAGAAAAATTAATTGTGGGCTACATTGTTTTTTTAAATAATCATATGTGCCTTTTATTTTTCATTATTATTGTAGCTATTATTTTATTATTGTTTCTTTGTTTTGGGGTTTTTGTCTTTTGTGGGGCTATATCATCAAATTAAAGTCTGGCATGCAAAATGGCGGGGGAATACATGCAAGAACTCTGTTTTAACATACACATATTTCATCAGAGAAAAGACTCTAGTCTCTTGTTAAAAGGAGTTATTAAGAGTTTACTGGAAATGCAGCCATCTCTGATGGCTGAAGTCAACCTGGAAGAATCTTTTGGAAGAAGATGCATCTTCATATAGAGACTTATTTGTGTCATAAATAATGGCATTGACGACACACTGGATTTAGGATGAAATAATGATATATAGAAGCTTTTAACAAACATTACACCATAAGAATAATTGTTTTCCAAAAGTACCCTTATTTCGTTATGTTTCCTGGTCTATTACCTATCCCCCATGCTTTCTCCTCCATATTTTACTCTCTTTTTTATGACTTTACTCAAATATGGATTAGATCATGGACTGTTCATGCTCATTCCTTAATCTTGTCCAGTGACAGCGCATTAAGCTTAGCCTCATGACGACACTATTTAATGACACTGTTCTGCTGTGGAGAGCAAATGTTATTTGCTCTTGTTTTGTTGAAGAAAATAACCCCTGTGTTTTCAGATTAATCTCCTCATGGTTATATGGGTATATATGGCCTTATGGCAGTTTGGCCATGTTGCTAAAGCTAAGCACTGGATCCTGATTGCCCACCATATTACTTATAGACACTAGGACAAATGATTCAAATAACATTGTTAAGTATCAAAACTATGCATCACTTTTCCTAGCGTTTCTTAAACCCATGCATTACTGCAAGTGGTCTGTGCCAATAAATGAAGCTGTTGCTGACAAGGGAGTTATAAAAGTAACTTATTAACACTCATGTTAGAAAATTCCTGTTATGTATTAAAAGTAAGCCCAGAGTTTGATTATCTAAAATACACAGACAGCCAAAGAAGTAATGTATTAGCTGTTCTCACCTAAAATGAAAGCTTTACTTAAGTTTGGAAGTGCTCCTATCTTCAATGACATCCCTATAGGAGGACCCCCCACAAAACCCAGTCTTCTGCCTGTAGTGTAGGTAGAGGCGTGGAACACAAGAGGGTGACAAGACAAATGATCATTCATTTAGACACAGGATCTTCTTCCTGTCAGCTTTCCCATAGAGGAACTGGTGTGGGGCAGCTCTGCCTTCATCATCAGGGACAATGGAGCAGAGGCTAATAGAAATATTGGCAGTGATGTCCCAGAGGGGTCAAACATGAGCCAAGAAATCTTCAAAAATCCACTTTGAAGAGCCTATCTGTTATGGGTTGCATTGTCTCCCCCAAAAAGATATTGATGTCTTCACACTGAGGACCTAGGCTACGCAGGTGACCTTATTTGGACATAGGGTCTTTGCAGACGTAATTAGTTAATATATAGCCATTAGTGTTTACCCTAATCCAATATGACCGAGTTCTTATCAAAAGGAAAGATTTTGATGCAGAGACCCACACAGGAATAATGCATGTGAACGTGAAGGCAAAAATTGGGGT
The DNA here is from genome assembly GCF_000001405.40 of Homo sapiens. NCBI lineage: Eukaryota > Metazoa > Chordata > Mammalia > Primates > Hominidae > Homo > Homo sapiens. The sequence goes on from NC_000002.12 coordinate 4,501,558, forward strand.
GACACGTCTATAAGTCAAGGAACACCAGAGGTTACTAGCAAATCACTAGGAGCTAGGAGAGTGGCATGGAACTGATCCTTCCTTCCCTAGCACCTCCAAAGGAAGCACAGCCCTGTCAACACTTTGCTCTTGGACTTCTAGCCTCCGGAACTGTGAAACAATACATTCCTGTTGTTTAAGCCACTCAGCTTGTGGTACTTTGTTACAGCGGCCTAGGAAACTCATAGGCTATCCCAGCTTACAATTTCATGACTCCATGATAAGCCTTCTGCTTTAGGGTAGAAAATGTTTCCCAAAATATGTTCAAGAGAAAGGATATGAATCATTAATCAAGTTCACTCAGTCTATATTTCAAACTTATTTGATTTAGGGACTAGGATATATTTTATTTGTCTTTGAATAACAACTACCTAGTATTTACATATATGAATGATTAAAAAAACTTATATCCAAAACATGTAAATAATTCCTACAAGTCAAAAATTAAATACAACTCTTTATTTTATCTTATATAAAATAAAATAATGGACATACATCTCTGTGTTCACAAAGAAGACATACAAATAGTAAGCTATAACAAGATATGAAACATCATTATTCAATAGGGAAATGTAAACTGAAATCACTATGAGATAGCACTATGTGGCCATCAGAATTGCTTAAATTAAAAAGACTCACAACAACAAATGATTGCAAGGCTATGAAACAACCAGAACTCTCATATATTTTTAGTGAGAGTATAAGTTGTATAACCACTTTGGAAAAATGTCTAGCATTTTCTTAGAAAAATAAACATACACTTACATTATGACCCAGCAGTTCTACACCCAGACATTTCCTCAAAGGAAATGAAGCATACATTCACAAAATTACTTGTACATGAATGTTTAAAGCAGCTTCATTCAAAATAGCCAAAACCTGAAAATGGCCCAGGTGTCAATCAACTGGAGAATGGATGAATACACTGTAGAGTGTTTCTATAGTGGAAGACTGCTCAGAAACAACAAAGGCTGAGTACAGGTACACAAAACCCATCTGCTGAGAAAAAGAAACCAGACACAGAAGCATATACGCTGTAGGGTTCCATTCATAGAAAGTGCTAAGACAGGCGAAACGAGTCTTTCTTTAAACAGTCAGAAGAGTGGGGAAATGGGGTGAGCATTGACTGGGAGGGTTCCATGGCTACTTTGTGAAGTGACAGCAGTGCTCTGAAACTTGAGCTTTGGTTACACAAATGTGTGCATCTGCTAACTTTTAATGAAGGTACATTTAAGTTTGGTTCATTTCACACAACGTAAATTTTACTTAAATCAGCATAAAATATTTAATTGTAGTTAATGATACAGATTCTGAAGTGTTTAGGGGTGGCATATACAGGAATATGCAACATATTTTGAAATGCATCAAAAAACAGAATTGATTAATGGCTCATAAAAAGGCAGATAAGTGATAACGCAAATAGAGCACACGTCTGCTGTAGAACCCACGTGGGGTGTATTTGAGTTTTCAGCGCATCATTTTCCAACTTTTCTGTATGATGAAAGATTTTAATAATCAGATATTATATAAAGACAACTTCAATTTTGAGACATTAATGTGCCGATCAAAATTGTTTCCTGATAGTAAACCCCTTACGAGTGGGAACAGTCACCCCACCTCACGTTGGCTGAGTGGATATAAGCAGATGCTTCCAGGGGTCACCTCTCGGCTAAGCTCCCCCAAAAAACATTTTATTTGGCCTGTTTCTTGAGTCCATTGCCTCTTTCATTTCTTCACTGTTATCCCTCATCTCTTTCATTTGAGTAAAATTGTGATAGCATAAGATGCTGTCCTGCCTCGCAGTCATGTGAAGAAGAGTCCCACTGGAAGTGTGGTGGAATGGGAAGGCGATAGAGTCTTAGGGAACACTGCAGAGGTCCCTTTTCAGATCCGGACTGCTCATCTTCATTCTCCTTGTAGGTTACAAATAAAATAAAGGTCTTGCTGTTTTAAGCATGCTTTCATTTACCACTTGTTAACGAAAATAACAAGCTTAGATTTTGGAATTAGTAGAGGGGAGGAGAAAGACAGTGGGAATTGAGGATGCAACCTTCCCAGCTTAGAAACCTGAGATCAATTTTGGTCAATAAAAACATTTTTGGAAACTGTAGTTTGTGATATTTGGGCACATACAACCAAGCACCAACTGTAACTACAGAGTGAGGATAACTGGTAGGAAATACAGAAGGTATGGCTATGTTGGCTGCTGCATGCCACCTTCGGTAAAGTCCTCCCAGTGAAGAAGCATGAGCTTGGTGTAGTACTGTCAGCCTTCAAATAGAGACAGGGAGAGTTTCTGGGTTATTCTCTACCTGCAGTCCAAAATCTGTGTTGACTGAGACTGATTTTCTGTTTGTTTGTTTTTAAAATTTTAATACACTTTATTGCATATATTTGAGGTTTGCAATATGACGTTTTGGGATACATTAGTAAAATGGTCATAGTAGTGAAGCAGATTAATATATCTATCACCTCAGTTACTTTTTGTGAAAACAACCTATTTGTTTGCAAAAATCCCTAATACAATACAATTCTATTAACTTTAGCCTTTGTGTTGTACATTAGATCTTTAGAATTTGTGTTTCTTAAATTCAGATACTTACAGACATTAAATTAGGGATAGAGGAAACAGATAAATAATAGTTTTGCATCCTGTGACTGCTATATAATCCAATTATGAAGAAAATACACCAGTTCTGGGCTTCACTTTTCTCCACTCATTTTCAAATTCACACATTTTTAAATATTTCTTATCTATCAAGCCTAAATCAGACTGTCAAATCTAGTTAAACTATTACCTAGCATGAGTTTCTAAATCCAGACTACATGATTTAAAAAGCCAGTTTTTATATCCTAAACTGAAACTTGCAAATGCTGTAGCTGAAAAGCAACCATTTTAGTAGTAGATAATTTTGGGGTCTTAGGCCTTTTTCAAACACCTCTCAATTAGAATCTGCAAGACAAAGAGAGAAAATTTTCCACCAGGTCGTGATCAAGGATGTTGTTATTTCTCTAGATACTATTGTTTTGAATTGCCTCAGAACACAGCCCATAATTTAAGGGAGGGATAAGGATAGACCACAGAGAACTGCTGCTGAGATTAAATAGTACAATGATCTGATGAATATGCCTAGACAACTTTGGCTACAGTTACTCCATGTAGAATTAATAGGAAGTAGATAGACATGAATTCCGTGTTGTCTGAGAAAAGCGCATTGCCAACTCCAAACAGAGCATCAACAACCTTTTTCATCATCCACTGAGAAATCCCGTAATGCCCTAAATTTGTACCATAGAAGTGGGCTGCAAAATGGTACATCTTCCAGGAAGGATATTCTCCCTGGGGCCCACCCCACTCTGTTCATGGAGAAATTTAATGTGGGCAATCCACCCAGAAGGCAGAGCTGTTGGGTCATGAAGAGCAACAAAGGAGAAAAATGTCCCATAGATAAAACCAAGAGACTCACCTCTCTGTTAGGGCAAGGTACTTACTATTCCTTTTCAGATGGTCTTGACTTGTGCTATGTTCCAGGAACTGCTGTGTTGCCCTTTCTACCCATCCAGACCAAGAGATTATCTTGTTTCTTCTCCATTATTGTATGATGGGTATCTTGTGCCAATTGATTATCAGATGGTTAAGAGACACATCTTACCTTAGGCAGAGGACCGTATAATTCACAGAAATGCTAGACTTTGGGGTGGGTGAGACTTTGTGGTCATTTCCCTGGGGGAGTTAGGAAGCGTGTTTTAAGGATGTGTATGGATGGGAAAAGTGCAGGTATGGATGTTGGATAGACCAAAGAATGGACTGTATCAGATACTGACACTTGTCCAGATGATCTCAATCCCCTTTATTTCCAGCTAGTGGAACTTGCTTTGAGCAAGGTAGAAAAGTGCTCAGCCAAAACTATTAATTTTCCTTCTCACAGTCATGCACTCTAGTCTGGTCTTCCCAAGGATATATGTAAATGAACAATCCTTCTGAAGAGCCTTTGAAAAGGAATAGATGCAATTTTCTCTTTTTCCTATACCCTTCCACCTTCTTTCTGCTTAAAATGTGGATACAATGTTTACAGATAGAGCAGCCATTTTGCAGCAAGAATATAGAAAAATCAAAAATATAGGAGGAAAATGGGTCTTTGGTGAGCTTGCAGAGCCATTGTGCAGGTCCTTGGGGCTTGTCATAGCCTTTTCTTATTGCATGAAATATATGGAATCTTTGCTTATTTCAATTGCTTTGGGATATTTGTGTGCTTTCAGTCTGATTTAGTTCTAAAATAGAGGAGAGGCAAGCTACTTCATCTCAGAGTTTATATCTCAGAAAACGAGTGCAGGAATGGGATAAGAATAGGGAGTAGTCTTACCAATACTGGTTAACAATTTAATTTTTATCCTTAGTAAGAAATTTGCTTATTTCTCTCCAATTGAAGAATTTAGTTTTTTTTTCTTCTAAGACCCAATCTAGAAATTAATATTTCTGCTAAAATCTTTGTATAGCTTAGCGAAAATACATAGAGATAATTGAAAGTTCAAAGAGAGACAAAAATGTAGAATTATGGAAATAGTTTTAAAAAACGTTGTCAGACAGCATGTAACAGGCAATAGAAATTTATCAGAGACCACTGGCAGGAAATAGCCATTTTAGCAGAGTTGATGGAGGGTATTTAAACATTTAAACTTTGCATAACTGAATTTCTTCTGAATATTTCTGATTTCTTCTAAATCTCAAGGAAAACTTCTGATTTTCCAGGCCCTTCTGTACTCCCTTTCGTCTGATGCTGACTGCTTTGGTCATTGGAAGTCTCAAAGATTAGAGCATGGAAGGAAAGACCTGAGGGTGTTTTTCTCTGTCTGTCTCGGAGACATATCTGGTAGGGGCTGTGTGTCTCTCGTCTGCCAAGCCAGACAGGATTACCACAGTTGTAGCTGCCCTCAGGTTCCAGCATACTTCTTTTATCCTTTCAGCCTGGAGGGGAACATTATATTAATGATGTTTTCTGACTGTTGTATTATCAGTTCTATTTGGCATCTTTGTCTTCTGACACTTGTGTAATGCATTCTTTCTATTAAAGCCTCTGTTAAATTAGGGTGTCTTTTATTTTTCTGATTGGAATCTAGACATCCCAGCCACAGAAACGGTGGCTCCACAAGGGAGCTGGGCCTCTCCAGGTTGGTAAAAAGAATGGAGGAAGGTGGAGGCAGAGACAAGAAAATAGTTTTGCGGGCAAATGGATCCCATGAAGGGGGCAAAACTGTATCTCACATTGATTTAAATAATATGACTAGACCCACCCAGGGCCTAGTCTTGCCTATCAAGTAAGTTGCTTCAGTTTCCAAGAAGTTGAGTGTTGAGAATGTCTTAAGTTTTCTCCCTAGTAGTCCTGAGGGAACAAGAGTTTCTCTTTTCCGGGTAAGGCAGAAATGGGGCCTGAAATTTTTCTGCTGAGAGTGTAAATCCAGGATCAGAATACGTGCACGCAGTAAGAAGACTGAAACTCACATTATAATGAAAGAAAAGAAGAACCATCCAGATTGGACCAGAAAATATAACATTATCCGAGCCAAATGCATTTAAAAAACTAAGTTCAATAAAAATATCTTTAACATAAAAGAATTCAAAGGTAGACTATTACCTTCATTAAAAAAGTAGTGGCTTTATTGAACTATTATATATTGTTCTCATTAGTGACAGTGAGATGTTCCTTCTTTCAGAAAATGTTGTCTTTCCCCCATATTGTCAAAAATCGATGTTTAGTTTAGATAGAGCCTAACTAACCATTGCAGCCACTATCCCTGACCCCTCTCAAACACTTTATTGGACAAAGAAACAATAAGACAAAACAAAACAAAACCTCAAACCTCCACAGTCTTCTCTTATTTTACATTCTCTAGGTTTAATAATCCTACATTTTCTTTGGAAACAATAAAATACTATGTGAATGTGAGCAGGCTAGTTTTATTCTCATTTCACTTCGCATTTGTGTTGTTTGGTTTTAGGTCTAACAGGTAGACTGCAGCTCTACAGAAGGAATATTGTTTTATTTTACTTACGTGTAGGATTGAGCCTAATTCCCTTTCAGCTAACAGTGTATTAAGTGGCTCACAATAAAACAAAGGGTCAATAAGGGAGACGTGCCACCTTGAAAAGAAATAAAACTGCCATTTCCTCAGAAGACTTCTCTTATGAAGGAGGAAATAAGATCTTAATTGGCATCCAAACTAACAACAGCTGAAAGCCCTAGAGCCTGAGCGTAATTAGACCTCAAACTGAATTAGCTGGCCCTTTCCTGTGGCACTCAGAGGCAACAGGTGCCCCAGGATTTCTCCTCGGCTCCACTTCCTTGTTAATGTTCCCAGGTTGCAGGGGAGGTGAAAAAGGGATTAGATTTCCCTGGTAACTCTCATCCTGCAGTATGGATATTTTAGAAACCAATTATGCGGATCTCCCTGGGACACAGCCTTGGCTATAAACATCAGTCTTCTCAGGCCCTGAGTCAGGATGTCGTCCATCGATACAACCATCCATGGTATGTGTGTTAATTTTGGATAAATCACAGACCTAATGTTTTGGTTTCTGTGCTAAGTAGACATTGGCAGGTATTATTTCACAACAGTAAGAAAAAATGACCATTAAGAAAAAAATTATGCAGGGGAAGTTAATATTCAAGGCAACATAGCTTGTCATAAACCATGGCTATTGGCTGTGTTTTAGGCAACAATAAGAAATGAGACACACCAATTCGAATCTTTGTGATGATGAAGGCTTACATATGGGTGAATATATATTCCTGAAATAGACAGAAATTAACTGGCACAATGGCCAACATCCGCTAGAAAATATCAAGAATTGGTTACACTTCTAAAACTGTATATTGGTAGTTATCTTTTGAACAAAATAGAGCAGGTTTCAAATGAGAATGATTTTAGCTGTCTTGAAGGTTGCTGTAAGCTTTAGAGGAATTCATGTTTCAGAAGTATCTCATACAAAACCAGGCAGAAAGCAAGTGCTCAATAAATGTTGACTCTTCTCCCCTAAGTTATAAAGACAAACCTAAGTGGGAGTTTATCTTTTTTTTGTTTGTTTGTTTGAGATGGAGTCTTGCTCTGTTGCCCAGCTGGAGTGCAGTGGCGCAATCTTGGCTCATTGCAACCTCCGTCTCCCGGGTTCAAGTGATTCTCCTACCTCAGCCTCCCAAGTAGCTGGGATTACAGGCACCAACCACCACGCCCAGCTAATTTTTGTATTTTTAGTACATACGGGGTTTAGCCAGGATGGTCTCGATCTCCTGACCTACTGATCTGCCTGCCTCGACCTCCCAAAGTGCTGGGATTACAGACATGAGGGGAGTTTACCTTATAGGGACTGTAGTGGGACAGCACATACTCATGGGGACAGAGCCTGAGCAAGCACCTTAGTCAGATAAAACAGAGTGGCAAGGAAAATTAATTGTTCTGAGAAAAAGTCCACAACGACAGTTAAGATGCTAGAAATACAGATCCTCCCTTCTTGCCTTGTGCGTGGAATTTAGACGCCCACTTGTGTAACAAATATCCACATTTATTCTCGAACTATGTGAATGTGCTGCACCTTTGGTTTAAATGAATATGTGTCAAATGAGTTTACCACCTCAGTTGCAATTTATGTAATTTTTCCTCCTAATTTTCTTCCATTTATCTCAAGCTGTACAACAGAATCTGACCCAAACCACTGCAGCTGCAGCTCCTCCTGGGCTGGTGGAGGGCATGGGGCCCTGGATGCTCTCCCTGTTGTGTACAGCCTAAGATGGTAGCTGAAGATCAGAACTGCTGGATTGTCTGTTTTCCAGTGTATTTGTTGGCCTTTACCATACAGTGGGTCTTCTTGATTAAAAAATGTTGGCTCTAAAAGCTCGTAGGGCAGGCTTGGTACAGCATTTGCCGACCAGAGTAGCTGGTGTGATTCAGTCCAAACAGCTTCAGAAAGACAGGTGTGTCTCCTCCTTCTTCCTTGTGAACCCCAAAACTCCTTCCTAAAGACTTCCAGCTGCTGTATGTAAGTGACCACTTGAATGAGTTTCTTTTTAAAGGAGGAGAAAAGTAAAACAAACATCTTGTAAGTAAGACTAAGTACCAATGGTGCATGCAGGACTGTGCAGAGTAAGAGAGGTCGTCCTAAAGCAATACTCAGCTGGTGACCATAAAGTCTGAGTAGCTGTTCATCTCCTCCATGAAAGGATCATTCTCTTAGGGTAAGAATTGAGCAGTAGGTGCAAACAGTGGCTTTGATGCTGGAGGACAATTGATGATGCAGGTATCATTTTTCTCATATTGAGGTAGTCAAGGCCTATGACTTCCAGTTGGCTTGGCTTTTCTCTTGGTATTACAATGGCAATCAAGGTTTTACACAGATTGTTACAAATATAAATCATTGAGTCCACCAGCAAAAGAGCCCTCCCTTTCCTTCTACAGATGCTGATTGTAAGGTCTACAGCGATGTGACTAGAACCGTAGTCCACAGACTTCTGCTACGGCATCCCGCAACTACGATCGTCCCTCTGCCGAGAGATCAGCCAGCTAGCCAAGTGTAAGTCTATCACATTCCTAAGCACATGTTTCTTTTAGCTCACAGTTTTTCCGGAGAACAACACTTCGGTGGAGGAAGCAGTGTGTTGATTTCCTTGAGTATATTGTACTCGATCCTTATGTCTGACAGACTGGCACTTGGAGTAGCAGCGATCTAGAGGGTTTAAATGTCTAGAAGTAAATTACCTAGGAATTAGTGCCAAAATTGCCAGTAGAACCCACATGTCCTGATGCTCAATCCATTGCTTCTCATGTTCTAGTACATTGTCTTTCAATGATGTAGTACAAAACGTGTAATATTCTAAAGAGCAGTTATACATAATTTGGAAAACTTTTGGAGCTTTAAAACAGTTTATATTTTTTTACCCTCACCTTTGAAGGCAGGTTGACATTATTTTTATTAATAAGACTGAATAGCTGCTGAGTAATAGACAACAAATGTCAAATAAACAGGGAAAGAGATAGAGAATGTGTAATGGAAAGTTCAGGCTGCAGAAACTGATGATTTCCCCCTTCTCTGTGTACACCATTCATAGAGTAGCAACAATAAGAATGTGCAGTTTATAAATTAGAGGCTAAATGAGATCATCTCTGTAAACTGTTTAAAATAATGCCGGGAACGTAGTCAAATTTCCATAAATATTACCTACTAATAGTAGTACTACCAATAATTATAACTAAAATTTACATAGGGCCTAATATATGTTACATAAGTATGACAAATGCCTTGGATAAATAAGTTAATTTTATCCTTTCCCAGGCCTAGTAGCTAATGCTATTGTCCTCATTTTACAAATAAGAAAACTAAAGAAAAGGCAAGTTGAGTAACCTCTTAATGTGCCATAGTGAGTTAGTAATAAAGGGAGACAGGAAACCAGATGGTCTACCCCCAAATTGTTGGCATTTAACCACTCTCCCATGTAAATTCAACAGTAGCCACAGAAAGGAAATTCAAAAAATATGTATTTCTCATTATTGCATCAAAACCAAAAATATCAGGTCTTTGGAAAGACAAGCCTTACCTGTCTTTCTGGGGATCCAGAAAGAAAGTACTAAACCATGATTTCTCTTGTGGAGATGAGTAATAGACACAATTCCCAGAAGCAAGTTTGCAAAATCATACAGAGGTTTTCCCCATAACACTACTGCTTATATCACTCCTGGTGACAGTCAATGCGTACTTTTGAATCATGGTCTATGAAAGTAATTCTGTAGAATAAATATAATTAAATAGCTTTCCTATCACTTGCAATGCGTTTGGCAATTATAGGTTGACAAATATATGGGCTGACTTTTGGATGATAAATTGAAGACTGTGATATTTAACACCTCTCACAGATTTAGTTCTATTTAGGAGCCTTGTAATGGAAAGGCATATGTTTGGTCTTTTCTTTATATAGGTAGTACTCATTTCCTTGATGACCTCATACAGTTACTTGATTTTAAACAACATTTATATGATAACTACTCCCAAATTTAAGTCACAGGCTTAGACCCAAATTCCATACTCAAATTTTCAAACGCCCGTTCACATCTTTGCTTAGCTATTTAACAGGTCTCTGAAACTCAAGTCCTACACTAGGCTGATCTTTTCCCATTAACCTGCTCCATCCCCAGACCTCCCCCTCTCAGCTGGTATCAACTTGATCCTTTTCATTTCTCTGGCCAAGCATCTTAATAAGGTTGTCCTTGACTCTTCTGTTTTGTTCACTCTGTGTCTACTGTATCAGCTCATCCTGTTGGATCTACGTCAAAATGCATCTGTGGCCACTTCCCATTACTTTCCACATTTCTCCTTATCTGTCCATAGTGCTTGAAGCCATCATCTTCTTTTACCTAGATTGCTGTAACAGTCAGTCTATTTACTCCAGCTACTACTGTAACCCTCTTTAAACATGAAATGAAAGTGTGTCTTTACTCGGCTCAAAACCATATAATGGGTTGCATTTTACTCTGAGAAAAGAATCAGTAAGGTCAGAAGACACTACATAATTTTTCTGCCTCTCCTTCCCCTGACCCCCTTTTCTATACACCCCTTCCTGTCACTCTCTACCTCCCTCACTGCACTCCAACCCCATTGACCCTTATTCCTGGTTCTTGAATAGCAGGCATGCTTCTCCTTGGGTGTTTGCCATTAGTTTTTGTGGGTTTTTGGCCCTTCTTGTTGGAAGTAACTTTTCTAAGATAATCCGCTTTGTTAATTTTCTCACTACCGGTAAGTCTTCACACAAATCTTGCCTTTTTTTGTTTGTTTGTTCGTCTCCCAGGCTGGAATGCAGTGAGTGGCGCTATCTCTGCTCACTGCAGCCTTTACCTCCAGGGCTCAGGTGATGCTCCCACTTCAGCCAAGTTGCTGAGATGACCGGTGTGCCACCACGACTGGCTAATTTTTGTATTTTTTGTAGAGATGGGGTTTCGCTATGTTTCCCAGGATGGTCTCAAACTCCTGGGCTCAACTGATTCGCCTGCCTCAGCCTCCCAAAATGCTGGGGTTACTGGCATAAGCCACTGTCCTTGGCTAAATCTGGCTTTCTTAATGAGCCCTCTCCTAAGCCCTGCATTTAATTTTGTGTCAGTTTTCAGCTCCACCTCCTTCACTCCATTCCAGCTGTGATTCCTGATTTCCCCTGCCTATTGTACCTTTTCCTTTTTACGTATATTCATGAAACTCCAATACAATACCATATGATTGTATTGTGTATTGTATTTGTTGATTGTCAACTGTGGAGACACATTTTGGCTCAAGTTGGTAGTATTTACGTAGTTTGAATGGTCATGCTCTTGCTAGATGTTCAAGTGTGGAATGCCTCCAGGAATACTCCTACTACTCATAGCATCAACACATGATACAAACCTGTAGAGCCAGAAGTCAATCATGGCATGGACATGTCCTACTGCTCAGGGGGAAGATGTATGTGGGTAGTGAGGAAAAACGGGTTTGAAATATTCAATTGCAAGCCTCATTGCATAGCATTAGGGGATACAGTAATATACATATAAGACCACCTAATCTGCACACAACCTTAAGTTCAGAACTTACAATGGTTTATATTTGAAAACCTTATGAAATTAGCACTTTATTTAACAGGTGAAGAAACTGAGGCACAGAGAGGTTAAGTAACTTAGGCAAGGTCTCATGGTAAATGCAAGAGCTGGGCCTTGAACACAAATAGTTCCACATTCAAACTTGTACTCCTGACCTCTAAGCAGAATTCTTCAGTTAATTCTTTAGTTTTCTCCTGCAGTCCCCTCTGCTGAGGTTCACCAGTGCTGTCATGCTGTGAGCATAAGGTAACAATGGTATCATTAGTTTATCCTTTCCATAAGCCTATGAGGTAAACATGACAATGACTTCAATTTTAGGGAGAAAAATTGAGGTCAAAATTATTTAAATCTCAAAGGTCACGACATTCGTCCTTGGCAGAGCTGGAATTACAGTCCAAGTCTCCTGACTTTCAGATCAAAATACCTTACAAACTGTATGCTACCCCTCAGCTAGTGGTTTATGACATTGGCTGTCTAGAGAAACGTGCACGGTCTCTGTGACCTTCCTCAGTTCAACAACAAAACCCCAGAGGGAGCAGCAACGGTGCATCATTAAGATAAGAGATCTCACAACACTGAGCTAGGAGATGATTTCTGGAAATCCCTACAAAGGAATCTCTGGGATAATGCTTAGATGCTCACTTCTAGCAAATAAAAGATGGGATGGTCCTTCTATTTTTTTAACTTTATTAAAATACTGAGTTTTATTTCACATGTATATTTTTGTCTCCCCACCATTTCCGTGTCTGACCACCACTACCACTATGTCCTACCATAACATTCCATACATACTTAAAACCAAGCAAAGGGTGGAGTTCCATCTTTAAAAACTAAACAGGCATTTTGGACAACACATTCTTGGCCATGGAACCTGGACAACATTTATCAAACATGGCAGGGAAAGCTGTCACTCTCCATTATAAAAAGGACAGCCAGACATCAGCTCTTACAGAAATGAAATAAGACAGAAAATTTTTAACAAATTGTTTAAACTATTTTCTTAAAGAGACTTCCTCCACTGCCAGAGATCTTGAATAGCCTCCTGGTCAGTTATCCAGAAGCCATTATTCACGTAATTGATGAACTTGGATTCCACTTTGGGAAGAGAACCACCTTTTTCTATACTTGCTTGCATTTTTACTTTAATGTCTTCTACAGAACTAGGTCTTTGTGGTGTTTTAGGAGTTTTTTCCTGTTTTTGAAAGATTCTTGTCCTTTTGATCTTGGTGTTGATGGTTTTGAGTCTTTTCCATTCTGATTTGACTTTTGTGCACTTTTGGCTAGAGTATCTCATATAGATTTCTTTACTGGCACCTTTTCTTCAGTTTCCTCATCATCAAAATTATCATTGTCATCATCATCATCATCTTCATCAGCAGCAAGTTTTACTTGTTTCCATGGAAACTTGCTACCACCCCCTGGGGCAGATTGCTTTCCAGATATACTTAAGAGTTTCACATCCTCCTCCTCTTCATCTCCTGACTCTGCCTCTTCCTCCACAGCTACTAAGTGCTGTCCACTAATATGTACTGGTCCTGAGCCACACTTCAACCATAAGACGACTGGTGGTGTTATTTCAAAGCCCCCAAGGGAAACCATTGCTGTACAGACATTTTCAAAGTTACCAGTGTTACTTTAATTGGACTGCCTTTGTAATTCATTGCCTCTGCTTCAACAGTGTGCAATTCATCCTTTGCACCAACCACTAAACTGACTGTTTTTAAAGATAACTTGAGCTCATTTTCATCATTATCTACCTTAAGGTGATCATCTTTGTTGGCCTTTAGTTCACAACTGAAAAGGTAATTCTGGGGCCTCAGGGTGCTCGTGTCCATGTCCATCGAATCTTCCATGAGGTGGTGGCATGTACTTAGGTGGGAGAGAAGGCGGATGGAGATAAATGACTACTGCTCAAGAGAACAGTCACTCAGGACAGAATCACACCAGAGGTCCTTCTATGTTAAAGAGCAGGTAAGCTCCCGCAGTGTCGCACAGCCTTGCCAACCAGAGATCTGGCAAAAAGCCCCTAATGGTGCGACTTTGTCACAGATATAATTAGCACGAGTACCTCAAAAAGCCTTCTGGGTGACCTTCCTAGCTTCCCCCAACTGAAAGCAAGTGTGCTGTCAAAGAACTGGGCTCTTAGGGTGAGAAACCAGCTTTTGGATAATTCCACCTATGCTGGCCTGTGTACTCTGAGCATCCCTGACCTTCATCTCCAGAAAGTGTTGTTATTTTTGACCATCTTGATTAATCCTGTGACCTGACGGAGCTTCCAGGCTCATTTAAGTTCCCTGTGTGAAGCTGGCTTAACAAGAGATCCCAGGGTTTTACCTCCCCCGCTGAGAAGCCCCTCTGCTTAGTTAGATCCAGGTGGGGTCTGAAAAGTTCCTGCTCTATGGCCAGGTTATGTGTTTAAAGTCCCCTGTGATTAGGATGCCATCAAATATTCCCATGTGGGACTGACCGAAGTGGTGATTTGAATGCTTTATTTCTATGCCATTCTGCGAAGTAAGAATAGAAATCTCATTATTTATACAAGTTATATTCTTACTTTTACATACTGAAGACTTGGCCTAAAGTATTATATTTTAATGTTAAAAAAAGTCAACAAGAACTTATCAACCTCTCATTCATGAAAAAAAAATACTGGAAAATGTCTGTCCTCATTGAGGAATAATCTGTTGTATAGTTAAAGTCAATTTGAATTTAAGGAGAAATATGAAATTGCCCAAACACACAACACACACATACACACATATCCCACCATCAACACACATAAAACCTCGCAACATTTCTCTTACTCTCTGACGTCTGTATGCCAAACGAATGTTCCTCAGATGCTTCCATATGTCCCAAAATATGTGCCTTCCTTATTTCATTATGGCAGGTTAATAGATATGGCAGGTTCAATTAATTATGACTTAAAACTTTCCACAGTTTTAAGTTTCAAGTATTTTATTCCACAGGAAGAAAAATACAACTTTCAAGTACAATACTTCTAACAATATGACTGATTTTTTTTCTCGAAAAAAAAAATCTGTCAAAACATGACATGTCAGATTCAGCTTCCTTCCACCAACATATCACAATCTGTTTTGATGGAAAAGGGATATATTTTAATTATTTGTTTTTAATCTGACTCCAGACTTGACATATGGCACCTCATTAAGTTCTCTCTACATATTCTGGTAAAAACAAAAACAAGCTGTACAAAGTTATTCAACTTCTGGCATAAAAGTTATTTTTAAGAACTTCTATTGCTTCTTAGGAGGTTAAACAATTCCAGAAAAAATATCCTTTAAGAGCCTGGAGTGACATCCGTTTTGAGAGGCTTGCCGGGAATCAATCACAGCAGACATTAGCTGCAGGCTAAATGTGCTCCTTGAGTGGCGGGTGTGCACAGAGATAGGTGCTGACGGCCCCTCCATGAGCTTGTTCCTCCCTGAAATGAACAGATATTGCCCACGCTGGGAAAAAAAGCATATATTATCTTCGAACTATGGATATTTTCAAACTGTGGATAAAGTCCTTTATGCCTCAACTCTGCCTCCGAAAAGGAAGATAACAGACGATTCATTTTTGTTCAGCTTTATGCTACAACACTTTATGAATGTCTCCTCTCCTATAGCACAAAGAAACAATTCTAAGTATCTGTTTTATCTGTTGGAGACTAATCTAACAGAACTATCAATTAACCAGAACTTCTTATTTTGTCTTGCATTCTACATTAAAAAATAACTTAAAAAAATCCTCATTCAAGATTTTAAAATGTTTTAAAAATCCTTTCAAATAACAACAAAAAGGGACATTCAGAGGACATGCTGATGCCAATACAGTTTCAATCTACTAATTTGGATTATAATTATCTATGCACCTGAAAATGATCAGTAATGTTTAGAAACTTTTTTATTTATTTACATTTATACAATAAATACTGAGTACAAACTTTTTTACTGAGCTTAAGAATTTTAAAAACTAGGAAGATGAGACACAATCCCTGTTCTGAAGCAGTTCATCGTGCTAAAGAGAAGAATGTTGTTGACCACAAAAAAAGGGAATGAAAACTGAGATATTAGCCAGAGTCTTCTGTAACAAAGTTTGGATATAAGACCATTTAGGGATGAAGCGGGTGAGGACATGTCACCAGGGTTTCTAAGGCAGTCACTCTAATTGAGACAAAGTCCTACTCTGTGTTCTATCTTGTCCTCAGAAGCCGATGGGACATGGACTCCTTCCTCTAGGGTCTCTCTTGCCAGATTTTAATCTCTGTTCATGCACCTCCTCAAAGATCTGATGGTGTATTAACTGCATTTGAAAAAAGATGTTCAAGAGAGATTTGGTGAGTGCCTACTATGTACTAGACATAGTCGCAGGAAGTAATGATGCATTGATGAACAAACAACTTCTCACTACCCTAAATCTCACATTCTGGAGGGAAGTATTATGCCACTGTGATTAAAAACAATTCAGTGTGTGTTTATGTGTCAGTGTGTTTGAATGCATGCTTTTGCATTGGGTTAGCTTAATCTATATTCTAGGTATTCATAGCCCAGTGCTGGTGATCAGCTGTCATTTACTCTGTCTAATTTTTAGAGAAGGCTATTATAAGTTCTTTCAACTATGTGTATCTCTCATCAATTCCAGAAGCTTCACTAATTAGTATAATACATATTAGATTTTCATCAATGAAAATAGTGGCTTGTTTGATGCTAGAAATTAGCTCTAATAGGTAAAATGATTCAGTTATGTGGATTAGCAGAAATATTTTCATGGACTTTTTATATGCATTAATGGGATATAAAAATCTAATGAACCCAGTAGCTTATAACCTTGGGGTTGATGCCTAAGCCTTTACTTGGTTAAAACCAACTAAATGTGATATATTTGTATTTTGAGATTTTTTATATGGATTAACTAAATTTGAAGTTTAAATTTGAAGGATAGGATGTAAAGATAAATAAATACAGGTGGAGAGATAAGCAGAGAAATAGAATCAAGGTACACAAGGAAGGAGGGGTGATGAGTATACCAGATGATCTTAAGTATTAGAGCAATAAACTTTCTTTTTGAATTAGAGGAGCCAATGAGAAATGCAAATGCTGTGTTAAGTAGATGTGCAAGTTTTCAGCAGAACAGAACATTAACTGTCAAGAGCTGTGTGTTTTGCAAAATGTGTTTCTCATTGAAGAAGTTAATCCCACTCATTCTCAAGGGACAACCAGAGACTATAATCTCAGGGCAGCTAAAGACGAAATCCTTTAGGGGTAGCATAGAATGCCAAGAAAATTGCTGGAGTTACGTTTTAGGCTCAGGAACACATTTTCAATAAATTGAGTGGCTCCACTGAAACTGTTACAGTGGGTAGCTAGTCAGGTATGAGCAGGGCAGGAGAGGGCTCCTCCTGCCCGACACATACCAGGAGTATCCAGGGTCCATCAGGTGATGGGCAGGTGGTTGTTAACTGTCTCTCTAAAGTAATGACTGGTCACAGCTGGCATCAGAGAAAGCCAGTCTCCTAATAGATAGAAAACACCTGAAACTGGTGATCAGCAGCTTCCCAAGGAGTTGGGCAAGTCAGGAGAAGCAGCGCAAGACCCTGGAAGTGAGCCAGCCTACAAAACCCCAAGTCAAAAGGTCAAACCATGCACTTGGCTTTCAAGATGCCCGCTTGGCCCTCTTCCAAGTGTACTTTTCTTCCTTTTGTTCCTGTTCTAAAGCTTTTTAATAAACTTTCACTCCTGCTCTAAAGCCTGCCTTGGTTTCTCCTTCTGCCTTATGCACTCAAATTCTTTCTTCTGAGGAGGCAGGAATTCAGGTTGCTACAGAACCGTAAGGATATAGATTCGCCACCAGTAACAGAACTGTCCCCTGGGAGGCTGGAGAGCCCCAGGACTACACATATCAGCAGTTGATGTAAATCCAGGGTACAAATTACCTTGAGAGTTACTCTATATTTACAGTGTCATCCAGGCCACAAAGAGTGCGATCTACGCATGGCTATGGAGTTCTCGACAACTCGAACCAGAATGCCTTCACGTGGAAAAGATCTGAACCGTGCGACACCGTCAGCTTCTCCGGCCTCTCAGTTGGAACTTGAGGCAAAAGAAGGCAGAAAAAGTTCCTTGAAAAGTAACCTGAAGATGACCTTGTCCCAGAATCTCTGCTTCAGTAACAGAGAGCAAGGGTAGCTTCCAAGCATGCTCAGATGGCAATGAGCTGAAACAGCAGCAGTTCTCTCAGGATGTTCTCAGCCAGAATTCTCTGCTTTTCCTTCTGGGCCAGCAAAGCATTGACTACAGAAAAATTTCTTTTTCATATGGTGTTTTTTTTTTTCTAAAATGAACTAATAATAAGAAAATAAAATAAACACCAAAGAAAGTATCAGTACGAATATAAGATACTCTTATGCTGACTGATGAAACTGCTAATGGAGCTGTCTCCCTTAAAAGACAATTGTCACAAAAGCAGATCACAATTTGAGTGCCCGTGACTACCAAACAGCAGGAGGAAGAGCAGGCTGCAAATTCCTGGCACCTTTACGGAACAAAGCTGAATTGTTTGGCTTAGGCAAACAAGTTTATGCTTGGTTATAAAGCAGATATTTATCTTTTAATCAAATTTTAAAGTAACAAATACCTAAGAACAATTAGAAATAAAACTTCGTAGACTATATTCCTCAGTTGGCAAAATATTATGCTGGAAATTTAAAGCAAAATAATAGATGTCTTGCAAATTGTTAGACACCAGAATTAGAAACCATGAAGTCTTGGACAGTGACTTTCCAGATCAGATTATTCAATCTTGGGATTTGATGCAATGCCTCAAACTAGAGTCAACAGGAGGTTTACAGTCCAAGGCAATGCAATCTTTCTCAAAATACAACTTATTTCATGCTATCTGTGGGGTTGTAGTGCTGAAGTCTTGGTAGAGGGCAGGTTTCAAAGTAAAAATTTCTCATTTTTCCATTCAATGGTAAATTCTGTCAACATACATAGCAATTTCAACACATATCTGAACTATGCCCTTAATGTTCAGGGTTTTGTCCAGATTTTCAAAATAAACATCACTCATAAAATAGACTTTGTTCTGGTTTGGTAAGACTAAAATGTATACATTATATAGTTCTTTTGTTTCTTCTAGCCCTCTGATATGTAAGAACAAAGATACATTTATATAAAAGTTGATAAAATTTTAGGCAGCCTAAACTCTATTTTTAAGTAAGAAAAAGATAATAAAAATACTATATTTTTTCTCACAATAAAGTTCAAGGAAAAGCTGAGAAAGATGATTCAGAGAAGAGGCTTTTAAATCTTTCATTTATCAAAAAGTATTTTAGAAATCCCTAAAATGATCTAAGAATAGCAAAATTGTTTCATGAGACATAAATATATTTCCCCACGATTTTAGATTTTCTCTGACACCTGAATATGCACTCATAGTTCTTGAATGATACTGAGCAGACAACACAGCCTGCTAATATAACAATCAACAAAATATCATCAGTCCTGGACAGGTCTGCGCAAATATCAAAAGTAAATTCCTTTTGTTCAAAATAAAAGCCATTGGGAGAAAATAAAGTTTTGTGGAGCAAAAAAGATTCTCCCTTAGATAAGATGATGTGGCGTATATAAATTAAACACTCAGCTGACACACAAAAAATTTATCCTTTTACTTAAAATAATTTCAGCCCAATATGTTTTAGGAGCTCTAAGCAAAAGCTAAAATATTAGTTGCTTATTATAAAACAAATAAACTAAACTAAAGATGATTATGTATCTTTCTCTGAGTTAAAGTGTTCTCATTGAAATATCATGATAGTATCTTGGAAACATAAGTAATTTAAAGAAATTACTATCAAACAATGTAAAAATCAAAAACTGATAATAGAACTCATATACCTTCCTTTCTCATTCATGTCAGGAATTGGCTTGCATTTTAATTTTAATTCCCCTCATATACCTTCCTTTCTCATTCATGTCAGGAATTGGCTTGCATTTTAATTTTAATTCCTCTCCCCAAATCCCTCATATCTTTGCATTCATTACAATATTTTAAGAAAAATGATATTTGTCTAACATTTTACTTTTTTACATGTAAATTATCTTTTCAACACTCAAAAACCTTGGGATAGAAATTAATATATAATCCCTATTTTATGAATAAAGAAACTGAAGTTGAGGAAGGTGAATGATATCTTTTAGAGTTTCAGAACATCATTTCCACAAAAAGAATCTATTCCTTTGTAGAAAACACTTATAAAAAAGAGGATTCTTAAATGCGTTATAATAAAGTGAAATCAGTCAATCTGAACAAACTATGTATGATTCCAACTATGTGACATTCTGGAAAGGGCAAAATTATGCATCAGTAAAAACATCAGCAGTTGTCAGGGGTGGGGATGGGCAGAGATGAATAGATGGCACATAGAGGATTCTTATGGCAGTGAAACTATTCTGTATGATACTATAATAGTGGATAGATTTGATTATGCATTTGTCAAAACCCATAGAACTGTGCCACACCAAGAGTGAACACTGGTGTCAACTATGGACTTTTGTTAATAAGAATATGCCAATATTGGCTCATCAATTATAAAACGCAGTGCACCAATGCAAGATGCAAATAGGGGAAACTGTGTATGTTGGGAAGGGGATGCGGGAACAATGTAATACTCTTCAATTTTTCTATAAACCCAAAACTGTTCTAAAAATAAGTTTACATTAAAAAAATTCAAAATCACACCCATGTGCCCTTTTTCCACTTGAAGATATTCCAATGTCATTTCAAGATATGAGTTTCAGAAAGTGATGCTTGCTAACCTTTAAAATCAGGCAGCCCTACTTGTGATCAGGTTCAGGTTAGTCCATAACAACTACTCCGCACCGGGTCTGCACCCAATACTCACCCATTATGTTCCACCCCAAATGAGCTCCTCTGAATACAGGTTTCCATATTTCCAGAGTATAATAACAGTTAAAGAGGGAAACAGGTTCAATAGCAGAAAAGAGAAAGTTGTTTTAGTCTAACAATGAAAAAAAGTGGATAATCTAAAAAATCATAATAAATAAATAAATAATCATAATTTTTTGAGACTATCCACACGATTGCAACTGTCAGACTATTGCGACTATGCAACTATCAGCACTATTGCAACTATCAGCACTGTTGCAACTATCAGCACTATTGCAACTATCAGACTACTGAAACTATGAAGCTGCAAGGTGCCCATGTGACCTGAGTTTCCTCTGAGGAGCATGGGGCACACAAATGGTTCCATCTGGGAGCACTCCAGGAAAAGAGTCCCCCTGAAGGCCCAGGGCCAACATTACTGGCAGGTTGGAATCCCTGTGAGCCCTAGACACCAGGTACCTGCCCCCATAACCCCTACAGCTGGCTTTTCCCCACGGGCAGCTCAGGTGCCCACAAGAAGGGTTGCAGGCAGCACTGCAGGCCCCAAAGGTCCCTCTCCACTTCAGTGACACGGTTGTGCAGGGACTGCCTAGTTTTGAGGGTAACACAGGAGTCCATGGGAAACTTATGCGCATTTAGGCACAGACAGAAAACTTGCCTGCAGCCCGGGCCCTTCTTAACGTGGGGCAAATGCCATCTGCTCCTGAGGGAAGGGTGGAAACACACCTGTCCAGATAACAGAAAACGGTTTTCTACCACTGAGGAAAGGTAAAAAAAACACCTCTCTCCCTGCATAACACTAGGCAGAAATCTCACTCCTCCCCAGGAGTCCGCACTGATACAGTGAACCTCGGAGTTGGCTGTGGGGGCAGGGATGGAGACACCACACACCCAGCTACCAAGCAGAGTGTGCTGTCACCTGTGGGCAGGGCGAGGATGTGTGCAGGACACAGGCCTGCTTTCCAGACTATGCAGAGTGATTTCCCTGGGGGAGGAAAGGATGCTAAGAAAGTTGTTTTCCTGAAACTCAGACACATGGGGCCTGCCTAAGCCTAAGTCTGGAGTCGAGAAAACACACGCTTTGCTCTCAATAACAGCAGCCGCCCCTTCCACTGGGTAGCAGGAAACCAGCCGCTGAGAAGGGCATGTGGTCTGAGACAGCAGTACACTGACAGTAAAGGTGGATGACTGAACGTGTTCTCTGGCACTCCAGGTCCCAGACTAAGTTCAGGCCAGTGGCAGGCTACTACTGAAGGGATGTGAAGGCTACAGTACACCCAAGGTAACTTCGGAAACAACAAAACAGGTAGGGCTCAAGTGCAGACTACGTGGACTCAACACACCATAGTTAAGAGCCTGGCAGAAAAAAACCAGTCAGGTCCATAAGTAAATATTCTGTTTTTACAGAGACCGATTTCTATACCCAGCATACATATCTTTCATGAATAAAGGTGAATAAAGCCTTTCTCACGCAAATAAAAGCTGAGAGAATTCGGGAGGCAAAAGAAAAATGATATCAGTGGAAATTAAAATATACACAAAGGAATGCAAGAGCTATGATTTGTAACTATAAGCTACCTATATGAGACATGTTTCCCATTTTAATCATATCAAAGTTAATTAAAGCATTTAAATAAAAATAATGCAAAGAGTTGTGGGCTTGATGACATATGTAAGAACAAAATATATGACGATAGTACGAAGGATAGGAGGAGAGAGAAAAAAGTTGCTAGGATTGTATATTACATGTGCTGTGGTTTAATATTATTTAAAGGTCATCTGTATTAAGAATAATGTGAATGTTGCAAACCTCAGAGAAATCAGAGAAATAAATAAATAATAAAAAGGATGAGGCCAATCAGCCAAAAGTAGAGATAAAATGGAAACATAAAAACATAATTATTTCAAACTAAGGAAATGGGAAAAATACAGAAAAAAAAAACCAGATGGCACCAATAGGAGATGACAAATTAGATGTCAAATTTTAATAAAAGTATATTAATAATTATGTAAGATATTAGTCTCTTGAAAGATAAAATTAAAGGTCAAGATGTTTATATTGGATGAAAAGCAAAGACCAACTGTGTGCTGTCTACATGTAGCACACGTTAAAAATAAGTAGAGGGAACAGTAGATTGTGGAAACACAATTCCAAAAGAAGCTGGATTAGCTATATAAATATTGGATGAAGTAGATTTTAAAATAAGTGATATTACCAGGAATAATGAGAAACATTGCATGATAATTAAGGGTCACTTCATCAAGAATTAAAAAAAACTTTTAAATATATAACAGAGCTTCCAATGATATCAAGCAAAACCCAAGAAAACAGAACTTTTTTTCAAATATCATAAATATTGTTTGAAATTAAAACACTTCTTTCTCTCTCCATCATTGATGGGATGAATACAGAAAATTAGTAAATATATAGAAAATTTGAACAATACTATTAAACTTTTTTTATTTTTGGACGCAGGGTCTTGCTCTGTTGCCGGAACTGGCACTGGAATGTAGTGATCCAACAACTGCTCACTACAGCCTGGAACTCCTGGGCGAAAGCTTTCCTCCCACTTCAGCCTCCCAAAGTTCTGGAATTATAGGAATGAGCTACTCTGGCCAGCATCCAAAATATTTTAAAATTAAAAATGACATTTATAAATAATTCACTGGTCAGATAAAAAGTTACAAGGGAAATAAGGAAATATTTTGAATGGGATTATATGAAAACAAGTCATATCAAAATATGTCATATGGAGCTAAAACATTGCATAGAGGAATATTTATCGCATTAAATGTTTACTTTAGAAACAAATCTCAAATCAATCATCTACACTTACACTTAGGAAACTACAAAAAGGAAGAGGAAATTTAATTCAAATCTGTCTAACAGAAGGAAATAATACAAATGAAAATAGAAATCAATGAAAATGAAAGTTAATAAATGCAAAAACAAAGAATAATAAAATCAATAAATTCTAGTCAGTTTCATTAAGAGAAATAGAGGAGGCGCAAATTGCCAGTGAAAGATAGGCCATCACAACAGATACAACAGATAATAAAACGATCATAATAGAATATTGTGAACAACTTATTGCAATACATTTGAAAACTTAGAGGAATGCTTTTGTTCTAAGAAACAAGAAAACAAAGGAAAAATGACAAGGAAAGTATGTCCAAACATACCACTTTTATTAAAAATTATATTGAAACTTCTACCTAGCAGAATAAAGCAAGACAAAAAAAAATTAAAGGCAAACTGATCAGGAATAAAGAAACAAAATTACCTTTATTCAGAAATGGCATGATCATCTAGTTAGAAAAGTCTGAGGATTTATAAAATTGGTAGCAGTTTAGAGTGTTTACAATGGTCACAGGATATAAGGTCCATAAACAAGAAGTCATTTTATTTCTATATATTATAACCAATGGGAGTTTGAACTTAAAAACTGGAACTACTTATAATCACATAAAAATTGTGAAATATTTTGGGGTAAATTTCACAAAATATGCACAACATCTGTGCACTGAATATTACAAGTCATCGCAGAGAGAAATGAAACAGAAGTCACAAATTGGGAGAAAGTACTGGTAAACATTTATTAAATTATCTACACTCCATATCATATTTATAATGTATTCAGCATAAATAAGAAATTCTTGCAATTCAATAAAAGGAGAATATAATTACAAAGTAGGCAAACAGGTACTTTCCAAAGAGATGTAAAAATGGCCAATTAGAAGCAAAAATGTGTTCAACATTATTAGCAATTAGGGAAATACACATTAAGACCACTTGTACATTCACCAGAATGGCAAAGCAAAATTTCTTGTTATACCAAGTGTTGGTGAGGATGTGAAGCTACTAGAAGTCTCATACATCAGTGGTGAGAGAGGAAAAGCTGTGAATTCTCTTAGGAAAGCTTTTATCAAGCCCAAATCTACTTATCTTATGATCCAGCAATGTTAGTCTGAAGTATTTATCCATTAAAAATAAAAATAACTGAGAGCAAAGGACCTATACGTGTATGTTTTTAAAAGTTTTGTTCATAAAAGTTAAAAACTGCACACAATTCAAATGTATATCATCTGATGAATGGATAAACGAATTGTGGTATATTCATAAAATTGGGTACTATTTAACAATAAAGAAAATAAACTATTGATATATATATATATATATATATATATATATATATATATATATATATATATATATATAGAAATAAATGAATTTCAAAACTTTCAAGCAAAGTGAAGCCAGAAATAAAAAAATACATAAGCTACAGTTTTATAATAGTTTTATAATATGCCATCCTGGGAAAGGCCAAACTCTAAGGGCAATAAGCAATCCAGTGCTTGTCATGGTCTAGGTGAGGGGGAAGGACTCAACGATGAAAAGGGACATTTTTGTTGAATGGATCAAAATGTTCTATACCTTGATCATGGTGGTGGTTGTGTGAGTATATGCATTTATGAAAACATCAAAGTGTGTTTCCGTGTGTATGTGTTCTGAAAGTGAAGGGAAAAATACTCAACTGGAGGATTTCTTTTTCTTTTCCTTTTTTTTTAGATGGAGTTTTACTCTTGTTGCCCAGGCTGGAGTGCAGTGGCGCGATCTCGGCTCACTGCAACCTGTGTCTCCTGGGTTCAAGCAATTCTCCTGCCTCAGTCTCCTGAGTAGCTGGGATTACAGGCATGCGCCACCACACCCAGCTAATTTTGTATTTTTAGTAGAGATGGGGTTTCCCCATGTTGGTCAGGCTGGTCTCGAACTCCTGACCTCAGGTGATCTGCCTGCCTCAGCCTCCCAGAGTGCTGGGATTAGAAGCGTGAACCACTGCGCCTGGCCTGGAAGTTTTATAATAACATTAGATATATTTAACTGTATACATCAGCAACATTCATGTTCAAATTTTATGAAAAGTGTATGTTTTCTCATATAAGTAAAATATGCTTGACATACATATTAGAAATAAGGATCCACTCTTAAAATGACATCTGTCCATTCATTCATTTATATTTATTGAATGTATAGCTATGTGAAAAATTCTATTTTAGATTTACTTTAACTACTCTTTTTTATACTAAAGTTATGTTTTCCTTTTAAATAGATGCTTATTTAGCATTATGCTAATACACATTTCTTATATTTTATATTCCTTCTCAAACTATACTCTTCATCAATTTCTATTGTAAAATTTGGATTTAATATATATGCGTAAAGTTTATTCTACCCCTCCATTGTTAGGACATTAAGTCAGAAACTGGGCACATAGAGTAAACTTTACTTGCTTATCTGTTAAAATTTTGCATACATAGCTTGAGATCACTGACACTGCTTATGTTACTGAGACCCGTAGAACACATCGGGTACGTAGGACGCTCAAAACACACATTAACTGTCTTCTAGAAACTCTCACTGACCTCTTCAACAAGCTTTTTTAACTGAACTGTATTTATGCAACAGGAAACGTGAGCATTTTAAACAAAGGGACAGCCTGATAAGTTAGCGCATTGACTCAATGATGCTGTTGATGATGCTAGTCATATTCGTCATCTGCATCCTCTCTAATAATAACTGCAGAAGAATTATTTTATGTCTTCATGAAAAAAGTAGTCATGTTTTCTCACGAGTGATTTGTCTTCTGTCTCAGCTTCCAAGAAGGTTAGCAGCACATTTGCAAGTGCTCAGCATTTCAGAAGACTTATTTTTTATAATACTTCATCTCTGCATTATCCCATTTTTTTTCTTCTAATCTTTGCCTTTGGCAGTTTTCTTACTTTCCTATATTTATATTTTTGCAGTTTCCTTACTTATTTATATTTATCTTGTGTTACATCAGTTTGGAAAATGGGTAGGAGGTACATAGATGATTAATGAGAGAAAAAAGGTGAAGGAGAGAAGAAAGAAAAAAGAAAAAGAGAGAGAGAAAGGGAGGGAGGGAGGAAGGAAAGAAGGAAGGAAGAAAGGAAGGAAGGAAGGAAGGAAGAGAGACATTTCTAAGACATTAAGCCCCTGCGGGTCCGGCTGAGGAGGAACACCTCTCCTGCTACCTGGGTTGAAGGCTGGGGTAGCTAAAATGCACACATTTCAGTGGCAGCAACCACCAGTCCACACGATGAGTTGGTTTCCAAGTCCTTGTAGTGAGAAGATGTCACTACAACTTTATGCAAGGGGTTTAGATATAACTTAGTTCTTTTACAATCTGTACTAATACTATTTTTAGTGAAGAAACTCTTTGATCAGGAATATTTATTTATAGGGCTTTTTAGTTTACAAAGAAAGGGCTGTGGAGAAGTGTCTGGAGGAAGCCTATGAAGACAAATGGTGCTCTGTGTGAAGAAAAACATATCAGAGATTGTGGTTGTCTTGACAATGCTTTCAGGAAATCTTAGTTCAGACAAATAAAAGGATATATTTTATTTAAAGAGGAAGGAGCAAAGAGAAGTGAATGGAGTGCTAGAGAAGAAATGATCAGAGGAGGCATCTTAAGACCTCAGAAAGTAAAATGCCTCCAAGCCCACAGGGGTGAAGACTGCCCCAGCTCATGTGATTCACAGGACTAAGGGCAGGGGCGGGGGGCACACTCCATACCCAGGGTGGGTGAGGCGGGTGGAGGTGTGGTGTTTGAGCAGCCACCACTTAAAGTCTGTATCTGTAGTTAGTATTTGGGCTTTTGAGACAGATGTGTAGGAAGCTTTTTGATCTGGCAACCAGTAAGTTTCCTGAGGAGGCTAAATTCACTATCATCCCATGCCCAGAGCTGCCTGGCCCGCCTACTCTGTGCAAAGGTAATGCCACCCTTTGGGCATGTAGATTTTCCATACATTACACCACAGGAAGTTTCCTCATCACGTCAGACCACTTCCTCATATCGGTGACCTTCAAGTCATCACTTCTGCCATCTGGAAATGGGCTTCAGTGTCTGATTTGAATTTCTATGACTAATATTTTATAATGGCATTCAGGAAATTAAAAATAAAAGTATGAAGTCTGAATAAAAAGTAATAAAGTTTAACTTATACCAAGAGCCTTCTAGACATGTAAATATCTGGAATGCAGGTTATGTAATTTACAAATGATGAAAAAGTTAGCTGTGTGAATGGTCCAAAGTTCTACAATTATCTGAGGCAAATTTTCTTCTTTTTAAGAGGTAAAATCAACAAAGACAGCCTACCAACTACCACGAAACTCCACATTTTCTTTATTAGCCAAGAGATTCAACGATTTTCATTTTTGCCATTGCTTCCAGGAACTCTCAGACAACCTAGCAACTCCGACATTCAGATGTTGAGTTTCACAGCCTTTCGTCATTTCTGAGAGATGAGCCATCATCTGTTCTTTGAGCCTGCATGTTTCTGTCCTTGCTTGACATACTCTAGTTCAAGTTGTCTTCTGCCACTTAGACTTAAAAGATGCTGGCACCTAAAGATATGTTTTTGGAGACATATTCATGCTTAAATGTATTATACATTAGGGAAAACAACTTTGGTATGACTTCTCTCTACATTTTGTTTTTCTTCATAATGCACATCATAAAATATCTTTGCAGCCAAAGTGTTAGAGAATCTCAATGCTTCACACACATAGGGTTCGTTTTGCAAGGCAAGGCAGGTCTCCATGACCTACAGCTCTGTTAAAGTGGGGATTTCTATAGATCAGGTCTACATGCCCACTTCCATGGGGCTTTGTGGCTGTGCTGCCTGGCCTGGCTCTCTGAGCAGTGATGCTGCCGAGGATGGAAGGACAGGCCTTGGGAAGGTGCTCCAGAGGACAGGGCAGCCTATGCAAGGCTTGAGGAGGGTGTGCACCTGGGTGAGGTTCCAGAGAGCAAGGGGCCAGAGGGGAAGAGAGGTGGTAAAGTGTGGAGTGGATGTAACACAGAAAGTGGGGATGGACCAGGATGAGCCTCACAGGCCATAGTCAGGACCTGGGCCTCTACCCTGGAAGAGACAGCAGAGGCTGGCCCAAGAATTCAGGGGTGGGGGAAGGTGGGGGAGGCCTTGAGTTCATTAATGTGTGCATTACCTCATATGTTTATTGTTTTTTGTAATTCTTTTTAATCACAAAAAACATCATGTTTTAGTATCTACTGTCAGCAATCTTCAAGAATATAATGCACCATTATTAACTCTGGTCGCCATGCTGCTCATTAGACCTGTTGAACTTATTCCTTCTGTCTAACTGAAATGTGTACCCTTTGTCCAACATCGCACCCGAGCCCCCAGCCCCTGGCAAAACAGTATTTTACTTTCTAGTTCTGTGAATTCAACTGCTTTAGGTCCCACGTGTAAGTGTGATAATCACGTGGTTTTTGTCTTTCCCTCCCTGCCTCTTCCACTTAGCAGAACGTCCCTGTTCATCCATGTGGTCACAAATGACCGAACTTTTTGTTAAGGCTGAATACTACTCCATTGTGTAAACATACGTCACACCTCACGTGATAAATACATACAATTTTTGTTTGTCAATTAAAATGAATAAAAAGGTTAAAATAAAATTATTTATATAATGGAACTGCATTACAAAGTGTCCAAATTTTGTATTTATCATCATCAATTCATGTCTATATTTGTCTTCTTAATTCATAGGAGGTATCTTCATAACATGAGTGATTTTTATTTGGACAAGTTCTTCACACAAATTAATTTTAGAACTAAAAGGGGAAAATATATGTTGAACTCAAATGAGCAAACAGTTCCCAGTTTTTTTGCAAATTACTCAGCAGTTGGACTTAATATAACACATAGCCCTACCCCTGTAGGCAAGTGGATGATTTAAGATCAAGATATTTCATGTACTTCATATTCTTATGATGATTTTTGTAAATGAGATTTATTTAAAAACTTGTCATGATTGTATGTTTTTTGATTTAGTAAACATGCCTGATAGCTAATCAACAATAGGCTTCACATTCTGTTATCTGTTGTATTAAAACATACTTCATGAATTACTTGTGAAGTAATAGAATCTTACCTATAATGTAATCTATAGTGCATTCTACATTGTTTTATATTCTTATAATTACTATTTTTAATATCTCAACTAAAAAAAGTATTCATCCCTTCCGCCCCTACCTATGGTTATTTTTTAAAAATCATTTTTATTTTTCTTTCTGTATTTCTTGCTTTACCTCTGAAGTTATTTTTATGTTGGTATTTTCATGTTTCTTATTAGAAACACTGTTAGTCATCAGGAGACTAAGCAGTGTTTTAAATCTGTACCAACTGTTATGTAATCAAGAAATTTACTTTTTCTATCAACCCTTATACAAATTTAGATTCCACAGACTACTAAAATATCATGGTTTTGCACTTTCCATTTATATTTAATATGTGAATTTTATTGCTATTAGGGTGACTATATGTTGCATGAAATCTGAATTTCAGTCATTTACTGTTTTAATAAAAATATAATTGCAAATGAAATTGCAGATCACTACTTTTTACTGCATTTTTCCAACAATAATTCTGCTTACACAAAGCTCAAATAGCCACTTAATGAGGTCAATTCAGAGGGAAACATTTTTGCCTCTTAGCGCCTGAGCTAAGAGCTTAAGCAAAGGCTTGGGGTGGAGGTGGCTTGGAGAGACTGAGCAGGGCAGCTTCTCCTGAGTGCAGCTGGTGACACCCCAGAACACATGCTCAGTGGCCGGAGTACTCAGTATTATAATTGTCTATGTACTGGCTTTGTTAAAAGATTCCAAATGTTTGAACATACTTTCGATTAACTTGGTCATCCTATAATATCCGTGATCTCTGAGTACTTAAGGAATTTCTTGCTGTATCAGTGTTTGTGTGAACACATGGTTTTACCACTGAATTAGGTTCGAAGCATTAACTGCAAAGCCTGAGTTGCTTCCTGAGGTTTGCAACCAAGAACCCCAACTGCTATGCATACGAGATTTAACTCACTCCCAAGAGCAAGCGAGACTGCAGTGTTCACCGGTCTGACACACCCTGAGCCCACTACACTGGAGAGGGGCGCATGAATAAGGCAGTCAAGAGCAGTCGGCACAGCAAATATTCATGGTCATGTTAACGCCTTGCTCTGGGAGCTTATGGTTAAATGAGGGAGGGATGGCTGAAATAGTTAACTTGGCTCACTGTGGTGAATGAGAGACATACACAAATCACTAAGGAAGCCCCAGAAGACAAGAGTAGGTAGAATTAGGGAATTAGGGAAGGTTTCCTAGAGAAGACAGTAGGTAACTTGAAACAAGAATTAGCAATATTCTGGAAGATAGGAAGCAGTTACTCTCTCTCTCTGTGTGTGTGTGTGTGTGTGTGTGTGTGTGTGTGTGTGTGTGAGAGAGATGGGATGAATTGCTGGGGAGAATGAGAACTGAATTCTATGTGAAGGGAGTATCCTCTGGATAGTATACATGATACTGAGCATAAAGCCATTAAACTATAATACAGGCTCTTATCATTAGCACATTTAAAGGTGTTCACAGGAAATATCACAGTGCTATGCAATAGGGAGTCGACTTTTATAGTTGAGATTCTCTGCTGGAACACCACTTCCCTCCAGCGTGACTTTAACTCCCACCCCATCCAGTCACTGAAACCGCTGAGGGCGTATAGCCTCCAGTGATCCCATAGAGAAAATAGAAACACAAATAGAAGCTGTGCTTAGATTAGAGACAGAAGGCTACTATGGTTTTATCAGCCATTATAGAAAGTGTACATTAATGACTAAGTATTTATATGTCGTAAGCTAAGTATGTGTTTAAACTAAGAAATGATTGCTCTTTGGTTAATAATATATACTCTGAAGAAAAACACAGACATTCTGGGGACACCAGACCAAGAGTTGTGAGAATATCCTGAGACACCAAGAATAGAATCCACATGAAACCAGTGTGAAATAAATTCCTTGAATCCTACCAGTTATGGGCTCTCATGATTCTTTAGAAGCCAGGCGAAGAGATGGGTGTCAAAACACACTGCTTACCATTTACGACTGGTGGATATAACTGTAAGAAACCTTTTGTCCTTCAATCCTTGCTGCTTGTGACAATGGCTGGGCATGGGATTATTCATAAGAATTAAATCCAAAATACAGAGAAATTTGCAATTATAAAGCATGTACCAGTAATTGGTATGTCTAAGATGAAGGTCTGGAGTAGGAAAAGTGATATTGAACACTGTACTTTAATGGCTATTGGATATTTAAGAAATGGCATGGTTGTCGTGCAGATATGAACTCTATAATAAAATAAAAGTTATTTGCTTGTTTCAGGCTTGCATCAGAAAAGAGAGAAGGAGAAAAGAATGCCCAAAATGTCAGGCACACATTCTTAAGGATAGAATATGGCTATGGAGAAATTCTTAGAGCTAAGGAATAATACTTTCATTCAATAAGAATGATGCTTTGAAGAAGGAAAAGAAGATAATAATTATGTCATTGCTAACAATAATAACAATAACAAATAATACTTGAATAGCCCATATGTGCCAAGGCTTTTGAGACTGTGCATGTAATCCAACAATAGCACTATGAGCTATTTGGAGAAGATCTTCTTGATTATGAGGGAC
This sequence comes from Homo sapiens, assembly GCF_000001405.40. Lineage (NCBI taxonomy): Eukaryota > Metazoa > Chordata > Mammalia > Primates > Hominidae > Homo > Homo sapiens. Next base: position 4,533,658 of record NC_000002.12, read on the forward strand.
AGAAACCAAGTTGTAATTGGTTTAAAGAAAAACTACTAGCAATAATGCATGATGATAACATGGACTTATAAAGCTCACAGTATATTCCAGGCACCGTTCTAAGTTCTTGCATGGATTAGCTTCCCAACCCTGTGAAGTAGGTACAGATGAGGAGGCAAAGAGAGTGTGCATGATTTGTTCATGATCACACAGCTGGGAAGAGTCAACCTGTGTTTGGAACTGAAGCCATCTGGCTCCAATGCCATATTTTTACCCATCTGATAAGAAACTGTGACTCATATCATTAAAACACTAAGGTAGACCATGCTTCTGGCAGCACTGCGTGTCCTTGCTGAAGGAATGTCACCAGGGCTCTGTCTCTGTTTCTCAGTTCTGCTTTCATTTACTTCGAAAACTCTTCAGTGTCCTGCACACATGCTCCCCCATGGTAGCAGCCTTGAATTTCATATGCCTTAGTAACACTGATAGAGAGAGTATGCCTCTTTCCTAATAAGCTCCAGCAAAAGTTCTGGGTTATTTCTCACAATTCAATGTCTTGAGCCTATATCTGTTTTGTTAGAAATCACTGTGACTGTCAATTATTGGGACTAAAACCATACCAGTTTCTGGAGCATAAGATATAAAGTCAGCCCCAACTGAATCCGTGGACTGGATGTAGGAAAGGGTGGTTCCTCAAAGAAGAAACGAGGTGCTGCCAATAGAAAAAATATTACTAGATTCAGGGCAAGTCAAAAATAGTAGATAGCCATTACCCCAAAAGTTATACAGCAAATGAAGTTCAGTAGAGGCAATTTGGCTTCAAGGCCAACCCTCTTAAGCGAATAAATTAGTCTTTTTTGGTTTATTCTGCAATTCATGCCTATTCTTTGAAAACCTCCATCATCAAAGGTCTATTATAACCTCACTGTTTTGCTAGTGTGATCTGGGGAATGGATGGAGTTAAACAGTGGTGAGAAAGTTAAAACCTATAATTGTTAGAAGCTACGCCACTAAGGAGAAACAATTCAGGCAAACACAAGCCTACCCTCTTCACCCCTCTTCTGCCAAGCAAGCGTCAAAATAATGGGCGAAGGCTCTGGGTGACATACAAAACAAAACAAAACCTCAAGCTGTTTTATTTGGAGAAGATAGGAAGAGTAACCCCAGAACACCATAGGAGGTGCGATCACTTGCATGGGAAACCTTGTCATTCTCCATTCAGAGGGAAGATTTTTCTCATTTTAAGTAAACCTCCACATCATCTTTAAAAGATCCTATATATATTTACAGATAGATATTTAAACTGGCTGAATAACACCAGGCATAGCCCAACCAGCTAAACAATGCACCTTATAAAGTTCTGTTTTAAAGACACTTATTTCTGTTTAGTGCCTGCAACCACCCTTCATCCAGACACAGCTAGACAAAGAACGTAGGCATTAATACTCCAAAGTGAGCATCTTAGACTTGCATGATACCTAGTAAAAATAAAAGCATGTTTTTTTGTTGTTGTAATATATACAGTTTAGTTTGGTCTTTGTTCAAAACAGTTTATTTCAGTGTACTCAAATATTAGAATCATTAAGTTTTTAAACAACCTTCATAAAAAATTGTTACGGAAACTTGATTATTTTTCTAGCAAAAAAAAAATTAAACCACACTTTAAAATTTACATTAATTTGATCTAGACATTTTTATTCTCATAGAAACTTAAGTTTTAATGATTTTCATAAGAAAAAAGAATTAATAAATATATTTTATGATGGTTAAAATAACCCAAATTTCTAAGACAAGTAATTTGACACCCACAGAATATCAACTAAGTGAAACCAACCAATTAACAAGCTGGCCAAACTTTTAAGCATTTAGACTCTGCCTGGCCTTTAGAAATATAATCAGAGAAACAAATGACATATTTATTTAAAAAAGGAGGAAAAATTCTGAAATGCAATATTATATCGGTACGTGTGCAGACATGCTGATAAAATTCCTTAGCCTTTATTGGGCCCTGGCTATGTGCTCAGTACCATGGTAAACATTTTACGTATTTTATTGCTTTAAATATCTCCATTTTACAAAGAGAAGCGCTATGGCTTGGTGAAGTCATGCAGATAAGGAAAGATCCGAGACCCTCACTCAGGCCCTGTGTTTACAGGAGGATTTTTATTCATATAGTGACCGCATCTGCCTCTGGCAAGAATTTGTGAAGTATTCAGTCAATTTTTACATGTAAACAATTATAGCAATCCTATAGAATTCAGGTGCTGTTGTAAGTTGAATTGTGTCCCAACCAAATTCTTATGTTGAAGTCTTAACCTCTGGCGCCCCAGAATGTGACTTTATTTGGAAATAGGGCCATTACAGATGCAATTGTTAGTTAAAATGAATCATTCTGGATTAGGGTGATTCTTAATCCAATATGACTGGTGTCCTTATAGAAAGCAGAAATTGACACACAGGCACACATAGGAAGAACACATGCAAAGATGAAGGCAGAGACCAGGCTTCCGCTTCTAACAAGCCAAGGATCACCAAAGATGGCCAGCAAACACCCAGAGGCTGGAGGAGAGCCTGGAACAGATTCTTCCTCTCCGCTCCGGGAAGAAACCAGCCCTGCAGACACCTCGCTCTCAGATTTCCATCTCCCAGCCAGAGCTGTGAGAGAATTAATTTCCATGGCTTTAAGCCACATGGTTTGTGATGCTTTGTTATGGAAACCTTCAGAAACCGATAGATGCTCTCATCCTCCCTCTACCCAAAGAAATTAATAATCAGAGACTATCTAAAACAGAAAGGCTTTGGCTAAAAGTTGACAAGAGCCTTTAAAATTCAGGCTTTTCTGAATCCAAAACCCACACTCAGTAGGAGAGCACTGCACAAAAGAGAAAGGGTTAACGTCCTTGCCCTGGAGCTACTAACAGGATGCTGCACACGTGAGAATAAACTCTGACAGTAAATATTATGTTGTCTAATGTCCACTCTTGATGATAGCATTCTTTTTTGATTCAGAATGCTACAAGATTAGGGTTCCCTTTTCAAAAAAAGTGTTGATTATTTACATATTCAAAATCCTTCAAAGAGATCCATGTGCTTTGTAAAAAATCTGTACCATTGACATGTACTTTTTGCTAATTGAAATGCACTTTAATTTTGAAAATTATGTCCCATTTCATTAAAGAGTTGAAGACAATCTGTATAATTAGCTAGAGTTAAGAGTCATTCAGTTAACAATTTATGATTGTTAAATGTTAAACATATTGTTGATGAACAGTCATTTATTTAACCTAGATAAAAGTCTTTCCACCTCTCCTCATTATAAAGTTTACAAAATAAACAATTCTGTGAGAACTATCGAAATCTAGTAACATTTGATTTAGGGAATCAGCAATTCCTGTGTAGGTTTTCTTTATCCCTTTAGAGAATTATCTTATTTTTCCTTTCCTCTAACTCCACTAATGAAAATCAAGCAGATTAATGATAAAGGACATTAATATTGCAATTAAGTTAAATTCTAAAAAATCCTAATAAAAATGATTTGAAAAACTGTAGGCTACAATCTAAGCTGGTTCTCTTTTTATGCCTATAAAGTCCATTTGTTCCAAAATATTTGGTGAAATTTATATTTCAGAGCAAAAATTAATTGCAGTGTAATGAGTAGGAATGGAGAAAGAAACCCTGAGAGTAAGTTAGGATGACTATATTAATTACTTTTTTATTTGAAGTCAATATAAAAATTGGAATTTGAGGAGTAATGTTGATCAGCCTCCTTCTATGAACATTGAAATGCACTTATACAAAAAATGTTCACCTCGTCACTAGAGCTCCAGTGGATATGATTTAATATTGTTGAAATCAGAAGTTTCATCTCCTAGAATAAGCAAAGATGTTTTCTAAAAATCATTATAAGCTGTGGAACAAAAGTGAAGAAGATTAAACTAATACACATATAAATGAAATTTGGGTAGTAATATTAATGGGTGCTGTTTAGAGAGATGGTTATGTGAACTTATAATGCTATTGGGCTATTTTTACAAATGTGACATCATAAGAAATTCTGTTTCAATATTTGAAATATATCCTAAAAGATAGTTTATGTATCCTGGGGATGAGAAATATGATCAGTTTTGAAAACTCATTAAGACAGACTCTACCCAAATATAGCAAAAAGCCAATCTCTTTAAAATACTAACACAGGGCAGGTCGGAGAGACAGAAAGGAAAGGCGATGGAAAGACTCAAGTAGCACTGTAAGCAGAAAATCTTGCCACCATTTGAGAAAACAGTTTAAACTCAGGATGTTGGTGTGTGTTGGTGGGCGGGGGACAATGGTATTAGACTTTAATATATCATCTGAGAAGCAATTAAGGTGAAAATTTTGTTTCCAGTAATAGATTGTCTCAATGAATGGTAAAATTCATTTTTCAGTTTTAGGTTAGACTATCAGAATGTCTCAAGCAATAAAAACAATTTTAAAAGAAGGTTAACAGTCTTTACATCTCAGGTAGATAATTTATTGTTGTGCGTAATACCAGATTTTACCAAGGAAATCTTATATCTTTCTGAAAACTGTTATAGAGATGCTATCGAAAAAGAAATACTTTGTAGTTTTAGAAAGGTGTTAGCATAGTATCAGATTAGATGTTTTTTAAGTCAAATAATTTAAGAAGCTTTGTGTGTTTATATTAATCCCCAGAAACTGAAAAGAATTTTAATTATTAATTATTTTCATGTTTCAATTTTTTAGTAGAAGGGCCACACATCCAAATTATTATGACAAACCAGATGAGAAATAATAAAATTGAAAATGAGCAGACTTTTATTATAAATTTCCTTAAAAATAATAAAGTTCATCCATTTTTAAACAAGTTATTCTCTGGAATGGGCAAAACTCCTAGTAGACTATGGAAGCTGAAAGTGGCTTTGAAAGATTACACTTGATTTTCAAAATTGTGCTAACTTGTCACATTACCTGAATGGCTATTTGTGCCAACAAGTTAACTTCTTGTTATTAAATTAATCCTAATGGATTTTGTGAATAATTTTAATTTTCATTGTCGTGGGAGGAAAAATGATTCACACCCCCCAAACCATGACAGACAAACATTTCCAGACAGATACCCTTTATTATTCAGCCAAAACATTATTTTCTTATGAACTGGATCACCTTTTCTTAAGAGAAAGCAACAAAATGGGAAACAGCATTAAGGAAAGGAAAGAGTGGATTAACCAGATTCTGAGGCAAAGCCCTTGTGTATTAAGACTTTAAGTAACAGAGTTTGTTTTAGCATGTTCTTTTCACTTACTACGTGAAATCATTTGCGTTTGAATAATCGGTAATCTCTCAAACCAATTGAAAGTACATTTTTAAAAGTAGATATTCTTGACAAGAAGCTCATTAAATACAATTGTTACTAAAAGCTCCTAATATTTAATTGAACACTTCACCTGCCACGTTGTGTGTGTGGCTTGAGAGGCTGAATGCGTACATTACAGTGTGTTTGGCACAGAATACAGAGGGTGTGGCCCGTCTGATAAGGAACCAACCATCTAAAGAGAAGCCAGGAACTATTGTCCAAGACAATGAAATAATGACTTCAAAGTCAATTCCGAGATCATCACGGCCGCCCCTCCACTCAGTGGGCTAGAGTGTAAAATCACCCAGTGCGATGGAGCCATTGCACAGACGCATTAGACCCATGCCAGGCCATGTCTGACCATAGAACTCAGATCCACAGCCTCTGCAGCCAGCACTCCAGGAAGCCACACCGCAACCTTGGCAGCCACCAGCCCAGAATGGCTGGACTCGGTCAAGGACTTTTGCAGGCTGCTTCTCCTGTTGCTCAAATACCACGGTGTCATATTTTGGGGTGGCATGTCCTGAACCCCATCATATCTCTCATGTCTCTCCTCAATTTTTTCTGCATCAGTATTCAAGGTCTTGATTCTTTGTTAGAGGCTATTCAGTTTTAAAAGCCCCTCTCTTTATTGGAATCTTACCAAATAGTCTCCTGAGTCTGCCTCTCTTTCCTATAATTCATCCTGGGAATCAAAACTTCTTAAAAGATACTTTTATTAAAATAAATTTATCCTTTCACAACAGGGTAATGACCCAAATCCTCATCTTACTCCTTACAGCCCTGTAAGGAGTACTCCTTACTGCCCTGTAAGGAGTACTCCTTACTCCTACCGAAAACTTGTCTCTGCCAAGTAAGTGTATCTTTTATCACACAGCAGACTTTGCTCTTTCTAACCTTCCAGAATTCTTTTTGGAACCCCACAATTTCTTTTCCTTTTGGCCTATCCAAAAAAAGTTACCATTAAAAAAACTGTTCATTGCAGCTCCTATTTAAATCATTCTCTTAAAATACAAACTAGAAGTAATCTTTATAGCAACAAGTGCCTGTAATGGGAGCACAAATAGATTTTAATCCACTTGCCAACTCCTATCAACTGGTGATGGTAGAGGAGGGTGCAGAGCTGAGGATTCTGATGTTCTGAACAGGCTCATCGGGAAAGTGTATGATGCGCTAAGGGAATATCTGATTGAAATAAAAATGAGTATCCTTTGATATAGTCAAGTGAGGATTGGTTAACATGACCCGAAGAGACAATACTTTCTGACTTCTAACTTATTGGCCATCAATGTTCTGAATATTTTATTTGCAATTAATGATGCCTTTGCCCACAAAATCTCTTCCATGGATTTTTAGAAACAGTTGCTTATATAGTTATTTGTCAATTGACTTTTTCATCTGCTTAAACTCTATATCTTCAATTAAGATAATTCTTTGAGGGCAGCTTTATCTCCTCCAACAATATTTCAGAACTGGTACCCAAAAGTATGAGATTTGATTTTATTTAAAGAAAACTATAATAAAAAATGAGAGGAGTATGGTGATTTTAGCAAATGCTTAAAAATAAGGAAAAATATCCATTTTATTACTGATCATTTCCAGTTTAAACATTTTTAATTTCCACCTTCCTGAAAAGTGAGTTGTAAAAACATATTTATAGTTTCAAAAAATAAATAGAAAGGGCATATTGTATATTTAGGCAGAAATTGATTTTAAATATCAATTTTCTGTTTTGAAAACCAAATATTTTTTTTTCAGCATGCACAAACTAAAATTATGGCTTATCAGTGAAGTTTTGTGATTCTAATTTAGAGCGAAAAGTGGACTTACTAGTATGTACGATCACCTTACTTCATACGTGTTTAAAAAGTTGAATTCTAATTTGTCTGATGTCTGGATCACTACCTATCATTTTTTAATCAATAAAAAGAAAAACATTAAAATAATGAATTAAATTCTCAATGCAAAATATCACAAAAAATGAAAGCTAAACCAGATGCAGGCAGTTGAAATAAATACATGAAAGAAGAATCTACAGACCATCATTCATGAAAATTAATGCAATGTTACTAAATAAAATATTAACATACAGTGCCCATACCACATAAAAATAGTACACCATGACATTTATTATAGCAATATAAAAAAGTTGTTTTAATATTAAGGAAACCATTCATATATTAAAGCATATTAATAGATCACAAAAAAACTTATAATTTTCTCAACAGTTGCTGAGAAATTCTTCAACAAAATTTGATGCCTAACTAAAAACACTCAAGAAAATGAAAGCTGAAATATACTTTCTTAACCTAATTCTCTCTCTCTCTCTCCTTGTACATATTTATATATGTATTTCTTTATATAAGAGATTCTTAAAGTATATATAATTATATGCACATATATATCTAATATGTAGAAATTTATATATGTTGAAATATACATGTAAGACAGGGAGGCTTCTACAGTTCTCCTAAGTGGAGAGACAATTCCCTAAGTTCAGGAACAGGGAAAGGAAAGAATAATTTCTACCTTTACTACTATTCAACCCTTAAGGTCAATGGAAGAGACAAGAAAAATCAATAAGATACATAAGAATTGGTGAGGAAGAAATAAAGCTATTTTAATATGCCGTTGATGTAAGAGTTTTACCTGGAAAATTCTAAATAATCCATAATAAAAATAACTCAATAAAAGTTACTATGGTAGCATGATATAAAATTACTATACAGAAATTAAAAGCTTCATATTGTGTCCATTAGGGCTTCCATAACAAAACACCATAAACTAGGTAGGTTATAAATGACAAAAAAATTTATTTCTCCTTTTCTAGAGAGTAGGAAGTCCAAGATCAAGGAGCCAGCAGATAATGGTGTCTGCGAGGGCCCATTCCTTACAGATGGCAGTCTTCTCATTGTGTCCCCCCATGACAGAAGAAGAGCCAAGGCATCTCTCTGGGGCCCCTTTTATAAAAGCATTAATGCCATTCATGAAGCTCCACAATCATTACCTAATCATCTCCCAAAGGCCCTGCTTCCCAAAACCCTCATGTTGGAGCCCCATCCCATGGCTCCACTAGACATTGGTCTAATGGAGCTCTGTGCAATGGCTCCATGCTTTTGGGGGATTTTACAGTCTGGGCCAATGAGTGGAGAGGCAGCCCTGATGATCTTGGAATTGACTTTAAGGTGATTATTTTATTGTCTTGAACAATAGTTCCTGGCTTCTTTTTAGATGGTTGAGGAACTTCCTTATCAGAATGAGCCACATGTTTGTATTCTATGACAAACAGACTGTAATTCTTTTCAATTTGAATATGTTGATAATGTTACAAAACTTTAAGTTCTGCTTCCATTTTGATAACAATTCTGTCTATTAATCATTATTTTCTTCTCACATTTTACTATTTATTGTCAAGAGGGACCAGGCTGCTACTTCAACACTTTGTTTTTATATATTACCTCAGGAAAACACACAATTTTATCACTCACAAATTTTACATTCCACAAAATACTAGTGCATAAACACAATTCAGCCAAATCCTTTGTCATTTTATAACAAGGATAGCTTTTTCTCCATCGCCTAATAGCTCATTTCTCATTTTCGTAAGAGAGCTCATTAGAATGTCTTTTACTGTCCATTTTTCTACCCAAATTCTGTTCAGGATTACCCATGTGTTCGGATTTCTCTGCAGCTCTCCTCCTCTCCTTCTGAGCCTTCTTCAGAATTACCTGTAACAGTCCATTTGTGTTAGTCTGTTCCCACATTGCTATATAGAAATACCTGAGACTGGCTAATTTATAAAGAAAAGAGGTTTCTTTGGCTCACAGGTTTGTAGACTGTACAGGAAGCATGATGCTGGCATATGTTCAGTTTCTGGGGAGGCCTCAGGAAACATACAATCATGGGAGAAGTTGATATGATTTGGCTGTGTCCCTGCCCAAATCTCATCTTGAATTGTAGCTCCTGTAATCCCCATGTGTCATGGGAGGGACTTGTTGGGAGGTAAATGAATCATGGGAGTGGGTTTTTTCCTGCACTGTGCTTGTGGTAGTGAATAAGCCTCACAAGATCTGATGTTTTTATAAAGGGCAGATGCCCTGCACATGCTCTCCTGCCTGCTGCCATGTAAGATGTATTTTTGCTCCTCCTTCGCCTTTCCCCATGATTGTGATGCCTCCCCAGACATGTGGAACTGTGAGTCCCTTAAACCTCTTTCCCTTTATCTATTACCCAGTCTCAGGTATTTCTTCATACCAGTATGAAAATGAACTATTACAGAAGGTAAAGTGGAGCAGGCATGTCTTACATGACAGGAGTAGGAGCAAGGGGTGAGGAAAGGTGCTACACACTTAAAAGTATGTAGACTTTACATTAAAAGCTTAAGACTTTACTTAAAATTGTATAGACTTGCCACTTAAAAATGACCAGATCTCACAAGAGCTCACTCACAATCAAAATCAAACAGTGCCAAGGGGGATGGTGCTAACTGTTCATGAAAACCACTTCCATGGTCCTCTCCCCTCCCACCAGGCCTCACAGTCAGGTCCAACACTGCGGATTTGCAATTCTATATGAGACTTGGTGGGGACAGAGATTCAAACCATATCATCACTCATGGCAATGTAGGCTTTTACTAGCATGCACTTCTAAACTTATACAGCCTCTGTCTATTACCCAGTGCCAAGGCCACTTCCACATATTAGGTATTCATTGCAGTAGCACCCCACTTTTGGTAATAATTTCCTGTCTCAGTCCATTTGGGCAGCTATAACAAAATACTATAGACTGGATGGTTTATAAACAACAGAAATTTATTTCTTACAGTTATGGAGTCTGGGAAGTCCAAGATCAAGTTGCTGGCATATTTGGGTATCTGGTAACAGCCCATTTTCTCATAGGTGGCCATCTTCTCCCTGTAACCTCATATGAAAGAAGGCTATGGGGAGTCTCTCCAGGCCTCTTTTATAAGAATATGAATACACTCATGACGGCTCCATCCTCATGACCTAATCACCTCCAAAAGGCCCCACCTCCAAATACCCTCAGATTGTGGAATTAGGTTTCAACATGAATAGAGGTACACACATTTGGTCGGTAGAATCAGAGTTTTCCGAAGGCTGCTCTTTAGCAAAACTTTTGGCTTGTGCTCTCTCCATCATAGATGCTTGCCTACTGCTGAGTGAGATTCCACTTGAAATAGTCCCCATGGTATCAGTTAGTGACAGTATACAGAATCAGTGTAGTCAAAGACCTCATCTAGCCCTTTCTCATTATATTCCATCAGGCCCCAGGAAAGTTTTGAGCACAGTACTTGCTCAATCAATATAAGAGCATGAATTATTATGAATAGATTTCCCCCCAGTGGAATATGAATCAAAATTATATATGAAACTTATCACGGCTCCTGTTAAAAAATGTTTTCCTCTCCAGTGTCTGAAACCAGATGTGATGGTGCCATTTTCAGGTCTACAGATGGAAGACAGACCCTGGAAATGAAGGAACAAGAAGTGAGAAGAGGTCTGGGCTTTAAGTGATGCAGGAGGAATTGCTACTCCACCATTTTAGTCTGTTCAGGCTTCTATAGCAAACTACCATAAACATGTCAGCTTATAAACAATAACCATTTATTTCACACAACTCTGAAGCTGGGAAGCCCAGCATCAAGGCAGAGTCACTGTCTGGTGAGGACCTGCTTTCTGGCTCATATACACGGCCTTCTCTCTGTGTCCTCACATGGCAGAAGAGGCAAGGATCTCCCTGGGGCCTCTTTTTTAGGCCGCTAATCCCATTCATGAGGGCTCCACCACCATGATTTAATCACCCCCAAAGCCACCACCTTTTAACACCATTGCACTGAGGATTTGATTTTGATGTATAAACCTTGAGGAGGACTTAGACACTAGGTCATAATAGTAAAGAATTTTCCATTTACAATAGCAACTAAGAGTAATTACTTAGGAATAAGCTTATAAATAAATGTTGAAATCCTATATGAGAAAAATCTTAAAGCACTAATGAATCACACAAAAATGGAATTAAGCAAATAGAATATTAAACGTTTTCTTGGACGCAAACCCCAACATTATGATGTTGCCAGTTTTTCCTATAATAATTTATACATTTATTGCAACTCCAATTATGAGGTAGAGTTGATTTATACAAAGCTAGACATGTTCATATTAAAGTTTGCATGGGTTAAAAATTATGCAAAAGTAGTCATGCAACACTGAAGATAAGACAATGTAGGTTGGGGCCCTAGCCCTACCAGACACTAAAATATACCATAAAGCCATTAAAATAAAAAAGCTATATGATATCACATTCTGTTGGTGAGGCTCTACGATATTGGTGCTCTCATACATAGTTGGTGGGAATGCAAACTGGTACAACCTTCTGGACGGGAATCTCACAATACTTAAGATTATGCATTCACTTACCTCTTGACTAAACATAGAAGTAGGTTCTATGAATCTACTCTTCAAAAAATCTGTAAAAATGCAAAACTTCATATGCATTGTCGCATTGTTTGCTATCACAATATGGGAAACAACCTAAATGCCCAAATATAGGAGAGTTATTAAATAAACTGTGGTAAATGTAACCAGTGGTGTATCATGCAACTATAAATATGCACAAAGAACAGCTCAATTAACGAATTGGTAGTGTTTTAAAGGATATATTTTTATTTTTACAAAAATTAAAAATGCAAAACCCAACATTGTTTCTATAGTATATCACATTTCATATAACAAAGAAAGAGCTATGAGAAAATGTATATGCATTAACTCATTTATGCAAAATAAACACATAAAGGAAGAACCAGAAATGAATGAGATTTGTTGCATCCAAGGGTTGTTGGAAAGACTATGGAAAGATTAGAGAAGGGTAATGGGGTATTAGGAAGGAGTGCTACTATTGTGAGTATTCCCTTTTGTATAGCTTTGACTCCTAGGACTACAGCAATATCTTATATACATTCTAGATATATACATACATACATACATAAAATATACAAGGATACTGAGAGAGCATAAAATGGAATAAGCACAATAGGTTTGAAATCAACTCTGTTATAAATGGATAACAAAACCCTGCTAAAGGGAGTGGTTAAGAAAAGTACGAATCTCAGTAATTTTGGAAGAGTATCTTGGCTAGATAATGTGAGGCTAAAAACAAAAGAAATTGTACACAAATATCGTACTCCAGACAGTAAATTTGTTTTTCACAGGAGTATTGGTTAGTGATTCTGAACATACTTTATACATTAACTAAGATTAAGCAAATAGGTAAATATATTGTTAATGGTGAGAGTCAGGTTTCACTTTGTCAAACAATACAGTTATGCGTAAGAAAGGGATAAACGGTCAAATGAATCCTGTGATTTGAATCAACAGTAAAACAATATCAGGATGAACTTATGCTAACTATATGTCATTTATCTATTACTTATCTATATATTATCTATGATTCATTGTTTATCTATCTATGTAGCTATCTGTATCTATATCTAACATCTATCTGCAAGTGTGAGTATACTTTCATATATTTCCTACTTCTGTCTACAAAGGTCTAGAATCAATGACACCCCAGTGGCAATGACCACAGCTAGCAACAATATTTTGGATTTCAATAACAGAAGTCAGGGATCCTTGGAGGAATAATTGATTCTAGGGCTGGAGCAGAGAAAATATAAAATAAATCCGAAATATTTTGTGGTGTCAGAAACTAAGAAAATGCTAAAAAAACACAACAAACAAGAAAAGATAGGATAGTAAGATTTAACCTGAAAGAGATCCATATGGGCAAACTAAAGATAATTTGAGCCACTAAATAAATAGACATGATTATATAGATTATAATCCATAGAATAAAATTAATATTCATGAGTTTATACTTATGCAAAAAATAATTGTATGAACAAATGTAGGGGAAAGGACAGCTTTTCCTTACAGTGGAATTCAATTAAATGTAGCATAAATTATAAAAACAGAAAATCATTATTTTTCAAACACTGTGGTACTAATGTTCAATCAAGAATCACCAGGAGGCCAAGCATGGTGGTTCACACTGTAATCCCAGTACTTTGGGAGGCTGAGGTGGGCGGATCACCTGAAATGTCAAAAGTTCAAGACCAGCCTGGCCAACATGGTGAAACCCCATCTCTACTAAAAATACAAAAATTAGCTAAACGCGGTAGTGGGCACCTGTAATCCCAGCTACTTGAGAGGCTGAGGCAAGAGAATTGCTTGAACCCAGGAGGCCGAGGTTGCAGCGAGCTGACGTCACAACACTGCACTCCAGCCTAGTGAGAGAGTGACAAAATAAATAAATAAATGAATAAATAAAATCACCAAGAGAGATGCTAACATTAGTAGGTAAAAAGTCTGATGAAAACCAAATATGTGTATAGATCTAAGGAGCTTTCCATGAGGTACTTATTAATTATAGCATGTAAAATGGTAATTTTATGATGGAAAATTCTGGTAGATACCACCTCAACCAGTAATCGAAGTTAACATCACAAGCAATGAAACATATTGATATAATTTAACTCCTGATATGATATACTGAGAAGGATGCATTGACAATTCTCTAGATTTCCTGCCAAAAATTCATAGCTTCAGTACTCATGAGAAAGCATCAGGCAAATTGCAATTGAGGAATGTTTCAAAAAATAACTGGCTAATCCTCTTTAATAGTGTTCAGGTCACCAAAGACTAAAACAGACATAAGACCTGTCCTATGATGTAAGATATGAAGGATACCTAATAGGTAAATGTCAGCTGGGAACCTGGGAACCTGAATTTGGTTGGAAATTTGAATAAGGTTTGTAGTTTAGTTACTAGTATTGTATCAATGTTTATTTCTTGCCTTGATTATTATACGATGGTCAGATATGATGTTAGTGCTAGGGGAAGATAAGGAAAGGCTGTATCGAAATTATCTCCATGATTTTTGTAACTTTTATGTAAGTCTAAAGTTATTCAAAATCAAAAGTTTAAAAACAATTGTTCTGAGATTCGATGAGAAAAGTCAACACAAGAAAGCTACAGAGAACAGTCTATTGTCCATCACATTGGCTGCACCGTTTCAATCTCTGTTTAAATATATCTATTAAATCCTCTTTTCATTCACTTCCTTTTTAGATGAATTTTTATACCTAATCCATATTATTAGTGGCCTGAGAATATTTAGAATTTCTAGGATCTCAAAAGAGCATATTTCAGTCAGCTTTCTTTCCCTCGGCACAGAGCTCATAGAGTTCTCGTGACATATTCATATCTGGCAATCTGTCCCTAGTTAAGAAATGTTAAACTTCTGTGATTTATTTTTATTTTATGTTATCACTCTACAAAGTGGAAAATGGGAAAGATGTTTATGCTCCTTAGCACTCAGAAAATAAGTTTGCCCTCTCTATATAAAAGAATAAGAAAACATTGAAAATAGTTTTGCTGTCTTAATTTTCCAATATTTTATCCTTGGTTCTGCCATACACAGACTGTCCCCCAAGCTTCTTATCACAAATTAATGATGAAAACCTCTTAACACATCTGTTTTACAGAGTTATACTTAAATAAAACTCAGATTACCAAGCTGTCACTTGGATGCATGTTACTCTATTCATGTAGCTATTTATCTGTCATGTATTAGTTACCCGTGTAACTTTCATCACTATATATGAATTCACCAAATATGCACAATGGGTGAATTTCCTGCCTTTGAGATGCCGTTTGTGATCGAGCAGCTTGCTAGAGTTTCTGCCAAACTTGTAGGAACTAAGGGATGCACTTCCTGGAATTGGTTTGCCCTTATTCCTTACTTCAGTTCCTTTTTGCTGTCTAAATCATTGCCCTAGGATTGCTCCCGGCAATTTATTGACATATAAGCTTTGTCTTGAGCTCTGCTTTCTTAGCTTTCTAGACTGTATCAGCTGTAAATATGGATGATTACATATACCTCGGGGTGTTGTTGGGAGGACCAGCTGAGATAGTACATTGAGACACTTGTCAGGTGAGAGGCACTCATTAAGTGTCAGAGACCTTGTTGATCTCTCCTTGCCTCCATGCAGATGACATTCATGTTAGCGATCAGGTTTTCTACCAGAATTGTTGTTCCTTTAGGCCTTGGATGTTGTGTTTTATCTTAACCTAAACAGCTACTGTTGCCACACTTGGATGGGCAAAGGTAACAAAATAATTTTTAACAAATTTCCCAACGTTTCAGAGATACTCTCTACTATGCAAACTAAGAAGAAATAGGATTAAATTTCCTGTGCCTTACTTTGGACAAAATAGAGATATTTCAGACCACAAGGAGCACATGGGAAGCTCAAGATCCCATCATATTATCTGTCACTTATCAGGTCAGTCATGCTTCACAGACTGTTCTCAGATATTTCTGAAGTCTGCAATATTTTAGAAGGATTTCCTATTCATAAATTTACTATACAGATTACAGAGGAAAAGAACCCACAATGAAACTTTTAAATTACTTTTGCGGTCCAGTCTTTCTACTCTATCGGAAGGAGTATTTCCAGGGAATTTATTTTCAAAAATTATCATGTGGTTGATATATTATAGGAAGTATCATTCTTATTAGGCCTGGAAGAATGTCATTATTTATTAAGTGAATGAAATATAACGCTTATCAGTAAATAAAATGAGGGATAATGTGTCTTTAAATTTTTTTTTCTTGAATGGATGTAGTAGAAAGTAAGAACTCCACAGAGGCAGTTCAAATGAATTTGGCTCTCAGGTGGAGGTGAACCATTGACAGAAACCCCTGTCTTACTGTACCTACTGGAAGCAGCATGTGAAGCTTTCCCCAATATGCTTCCAGCGTACCTCCCACCACGGATGTTCACGGCTCAGTGCATCACGCGTCATGCCTCACTGCACCACCCAACATGAGAAAAGACTCAAAATCCTTGCACTCCCAAAGGCTGGTATTTGAATAATTTAAGACTCTTTTTTTAAATGTTTGGGTGTCTCATGTTTAAGAATCTAAGACAGGTCGTCAGGCATTTCCTTAGTTCATCTATAATTGAAATCTCAAGGTTAATCACCGTGTGAGTTGCTTTTCCATATGAGATCCTTGGGAGACTGGCAGAGGCTACAGCAGTGGGCCAAATCACAGTTTGCTACAGTGAGCTTCATCATCTTGGCTGAAAACGCATTATCCTCTGAGCAGGTTGTCCATGGCAATCCAGCTATAACTCCTCCCCAAATTCCCTGCGTTGTCAAGTCTGATTCTGTCTGCTTGTCGCAGAGGACGAGGCAACTCACCATTTTGGCAAATAGACTGTCACAGAGCTAATGCTGTGCGTAGTCCTTTGATTAATAACTAATTAAGTCCACGAGGAAAGAAAGACTCGGTGAGAGGAAATAATAGTAACACTTTTGGAGTATGTACAAGATGTTAGTCAATGAGGTTAAGGCTATATACATCACATATATTAATATTATCTCATTGTGTGTGTGTGTGTGTGTGTGTGTGAATAAAATCTCAGTTTTATAACTACTCAGTGAAATGAAACACAGAGAGTTTCTATAACTTGCCCAAGCCACAGAGTTAGTGATGACCTGTCCCACTCTGGAACTCAACTTCACACACCATCTTCCAAATTTAATTCGTTCAGTTTTCAACAATTTATTGAGTATCTACTATATGCTAAGCACTGTTTTAGGCATGTGAGATATGTAAGAAAACTAGAATTCCTTGCCTTCATCGAACCTGAAATAGACATGATTAAAAAAGTAAATTCCATATGGGTAGGAAGATCATAAGTGCCATATAAAATAAATGACAAAGTAGATTAAGAGGAAAACAGCGTGCCAAGAAGAGGCGATCATGGCCAGTTACAATTTTAAATGGAAATGCTAGAGTAGAACTCGTTGAGAATTTAACACAAAGGTATGAACTTTCAGAGTTTGCCTGTAAGTGTGGAAAATGCTTTCACAGAAAGGGACAACTGAGCTAGCTCTTACATCAAGAATAAAAATTCACTAGGTGGAAAAAGTAATGGTATCTCTAAGGGGATTCAAAAAATGAGATAAGAAAAGACATAAAACGTTTGTTTATGTGTGTCTGCCTATGACAGAGGCAGAGGAAGTATCCTATCTTCTTTACCTACTACCTGAAGCCAACCAAAATTATTTTAGAACTTGTCTACTAAAAGTAGTTAGCACTTAATTCTTTTCTATTAGCATGTATAATGCAAAAGTGATAGTATTTTAACTAAAGTGATGGCATCAGAATTGTACCGGTAAATATTTAATAACCAGTCCTTGAGGAAAATAGTTACATTTGTATCAGTTGCCAATTTCCATGGTGAAAATATTCTTACCATAGCCAGTTTGCAGCTAACAAAAGAAAATTATCAAATGACAAATTGAGAAGAGATATTCATGAGTGCCCCATTATACAGTATTTCTACTTCATACATATGAAACATACAAATAACCTAAAAAGCATAGGTAATAGTAAAAATTTACTATAATAATTAGGAATTGATGTACTTGAATAGTCAATGTGTTTCCTTTTAATATAGTTTATTTAACTGAAGTTTAGATACCTTAAGTTTTTAATAATTCTGGTGTTTAGCAACTGACTTACGAAATTCTTAAAAACTGAAAAAAAATGGCTCCTATAGCAGTATGAGCTGGCTCCAGCAAACCACTGATGGCATGGAAAGAAAGGGAACTCTGTGTTTTTTGAAGTCAGATCTTATACATTTTCAGGCTGAAGAAATTCTGCATCTCAGGAAAGGATGACATTCAGAGAGGAGCTTTCCCTTTATGGCAAAAGAGTTCCCAGTTCGAATGCACTTTTCTCTGAAGTGTCACAGCCTGGTGCCCGGCTAGGATCTTTGCCCAATGAATGGCCACACCTGCTTTCATGGTGCCTGCAATCCCACACCAAGGGCAGGCTCGATGCCAGCAGGCCGAGGGAGGAATATTTTGATACTTCCTTCTGAACTGCTGTTATGTTTTAACTTTGATGGTAGAAAATGACAACTGCAGAGACTGCAACTTTTAATCTTCTGGAATATAAATACACTGCTGATAGAGTAAAAAATGTTGATTTCCCCAGTGCTTCTTTTCTGTGTTTGAACATATTCCCCAACACGAGCCACTGCTCAGAATATATTTTTTTTCATCTTAAAGATCTTAAGCTCTTTAATAACGGTACAATGAGGGCAGCCTGACAGATTCATTCTTCCAGGCAGCCACAGATATGTGTTCCCATCAACTATAATGTTGAGACAAGGTGAAAGAAAAAAATGATTCTGTGTTGCCTATCTCATCATAAAAGGGATGACTCAGAGGTGTCTCTGCTGCCCGCTGAGTTATCCGAAAAGTCTAAATAGAAACAAATGAAAGTACCAGCAACAGATAAGTGGCTTATTTTCATATGAACTAATGATTTCAAAGATTTTCATTTTGGTTTTGTTTTGCTCTCGTTGCTCTTCCTGTTATGTGCAGCATCACGAAGGAAGCTCCCATCACATAAAATGTGAACAGAAACATATTGCAGCGCTGGTTTTCCAAAGTATCTTCCTAGAAATAAATATTAATTATGCCCTGCCACCCAATATTATATCTCTGCTTAAAGAGTTGATGTAGACGACAGAATGCATATGTATCCCTACAAAGCCCATTAATTGTTTTAAGAGTTTTATTTTTAATATTCAAAACCATTTTGTGAAACCAAAGGAACATTCCACGAAGGAGAAGGCTTAACTTTTTAGCTCTTAATTGTAGAAGCTTGGTCTATGCTGAAAGAGTGACTCCAAGCCGAATTGACAGACTCAGGGGAGTTTATTAAGTTGTTTGGAATTGGCCAGTTAATAAATGGTGGAACCTCATTTAAATGTAGCATTTTTTGGTTTCAAAGCCTTATCTTTTCTCAAAGCACCGTGATACTCCCAAAGTGTCCACTTGGTGAGGAACAGGAAACGGTGTTGAAAAGCATTGAATTTGGAGTCTGAAGTCCAGTCCTGACTCCAATACCTGCCGCATAAATGAGAAGCTCAGTGACCTTCTCAACTTTTCCGGTGTCATTTTCTGCAACTGTCCTACCTGTCCTACATAAGGCGTAAGGCCTTTCAGCATTTCATACCGTTTAAATGTAATGCCAAATTGGAAGATTATTTTAGGCAAATACTGCTAAAAACTGCTTAAATAAGAAATGCCCTTGTTCTTTTCTTCCCCGCATGAAAATAGTAAATCAGACACTTGGGC
Organism: Homo sapiens; assembly: GCF_000001405.40. Lineage (NCBI taxonomy): Eukaryota > Metazoa > Chordata > Mammalia > Primates > Hominidae > Homo > Homo sapiens. Next base: position 4,553,233 of record NC_000002.12, read on the forward strand.
ATGCTGTTTTCTCTAAGCCTCGTATTTATTTTGGCACGTGTTGTACCAGTTATCCGAGTCAATTCTTACTTAGGCGAGTTGCATTATGTATGCACGGAAGCGTCTCATCATTTGGCTGTGCTTGCGGGGTGTTCCCTAGCACTGTCTTGCCGAAGTGAGATGTGTGGAAGAGCTGCCCCAGAATCATCCATGGAGCATTGCAAGCAGGCAGCCGCCCAAGGCGATGTCCACGTGGGAGGTCTGTGTGCTTCGCCACGTTCCCAAGCAGGCTTCATGTATAAAAAGCTTGAGGTCTACTGCATCGACACCGAGTGTGGCATCACAATAAAACCCAGGGTGTTTGTTAGAACTGTTCTGTCTCCAAAGCAGTGTATAACCTTTCCTTGACGGCTCTCTCTCTTGCTTTGGTAAATTAGCTTCTGGAATGTATGCGTGTAGCCAAATACACTGCTACACTGAAGCTAAGTTCAGTTTTTAACCATTTACACTAAAACATGAAAGTGAAAAGGGGCCAGAACATGTAAAATAATAATCTGAGCACTGCTTTTAGAACACAGCAAATGAGGCAATCTTAGTTTCACATACAAACAATCCCCCATCATAAATTTATTTTTTATGTTTCTAACCCTCTGCCCTCTACACAAAGCCCCAAGATCATCTATTTTTGATTCATACTAGAGGTGTAGGCAATAAGATAGATGCCTAATTTAGTGAATCAATCACATTAGATGACTTCCCACTACATTTTAATATCAGATAAATGATGGATACTTTTTTAGTTTTTGTTTATTTTTTGGTGTGTGTGTGTGCTTTTTTTTTTTTTTTTTTTTTTTTTTGAGACGGAGTCTCGCTCTGTCGCCCAGGCTGGAGTGCAGTGGAGCGATCTCGGCTCACTGCAAACTCCGCCTCCCAGGTTCACGCCATTCTCCTGGCTCAGCCTCCCGAGTACCTGGGACTACTGGCGCCCGCCACCACGCCCGGCTAATTTTTTTTTTTTTTTTTTTTTTTTTTCTTTTTGTATTTTTGGTAGAGACAGGGTTTCACCATATTAGCCAGGATGGTCTAGATCTCCTGACCTCATGATCCGCCTGCCTTGGCCTCCCGAAGTGACTTTTTTAGTTTTTAATATAAATGAATTAGTCTGTTCAGGTTGCCATGACAAGATACCACAGACTAGGTGGTTTCAACAACAGATATTTATTTCCCACAGCTCTGGGGGCTGGAGGTTCTAGATCCAGGTACCTGCTGATTCAGTTCCTGGTGAGGACTGTCTTGCAAGCTTGCATAGACATACTGTACAGGACATATTAACTCCAAAATAATATTACCTGCTGATTATCTGAAGTACATATTTACCAAAATGTCCCATATTTTAACTGTATATATCCCATATTTAATGTGTAGAGAAAAACAATCAGGAACCTAAAGACTTGGGCTTTCTTGCCAGTTCAGGCACTTCCTGCCCCTAAGAGTTGAGCAAAGTTGTTTCACACTCCATATCTCAGCCTTACCATCAGGAAATGGAGATCCCATGACCCGGAGACACCAGGGCTGCATATTTTTGCAGGGTTTGCATGTTATGGAACAGCTTAGCACTTGCCCAGCACCTTGCCCACAAGAAACATTAGGATTCTCTGCCTTGGCATCCAAGTCCCATATTTGTGGTGCAGATGCGCTGAAATAAGAGTTGTTCTCATTCTTTCTTCTAGGGGGCCCAAGACTCTGGGTCTAGGCAGGGACCTGAACTCCTCTCCCAAGGCTCCAGTGCAGGGCCTCAGTTAGACATTTCTTGAGGCATCATTTCCTGAAAGTGTGGAGTTAAACACTAGATCAATGATCCCAGTGAATGGCAAATGGGAAGAGGCCAGGAGGGTGACCATGCGGGAATGGAATAAACTTGAGCAGAGGGTACAGAAGGGGACATCTAGGACCAGAGGCAGCTTCTGATAGGGATTCCCATTGGGATGCAGTGAGGCTGGATGCATGTAAAATAGACTTTTGCTTTTTAATCTATGCAGATAAGTTGTTAAAATTAATGATAACAATATAGAATAATATCTATAAAGTATAGAAAATTTTAAAATGGCATGTATCTCATAGATGAAAATTTTAAACTTTTTAAAAATTAATTTTAATTTTGTGAATTTTTCATACATTTATTGAAAAAATATATGAAGAAGAAAAGGAAATTACCCTCAATAGAACCTATGGGGCACTTTGGC